>NC_000009.12:98675097-98826612 GCF_000001405.40 Homo sapiens | reverse complement strand
ACATCCTTACCTCACCCAGAACCAAGGTTGGAAGTGCTCCGAAGGCCAGGAGGAGGCTGGGGGAGGAATTCCAGAACCACCATTTGCTCCCCATCTAAACACATGCACGTTGAATTGTACACTTCAAATGGGTGAATTGAATGGTGTGTGAATATATTTCAATAAAGCTGTTACAAAAAATGCTTTACAGTTTTGACTCATGAGCATTTAAAAACCAAAAAACACGTGAACCATCTAATCGCAATTTTTATAAAAACAGTAGTTATGTTAATAGAAATTTTCTCAGGAGTACTTTACAGTTTCAGTAGTAGTAACAATAATAATAGCAGCTAAAACTAAAGAGGACTTGCTGTGCCAAGTACTACCTAGGTGATTTCTAGATAACCTATCTGATCCTCATAACAATCCTCTGAGGCAGGTGATAGTATTATCCCTATTTCACAGATGAGGGCACTGAGGCCGGAGAGGCTAAGTAACTTGCCCAAGGTCACAGAGTAAGGAAGTTGAAGAGCCATGAGGGGAACCCGGCTCCAAATTCTACAAGCTAACACTACCGCCCAGAGCAGCCACCGGAGTGAGAGCCTGTCTATAAATAAATCAATAAATAAAAGCATTAATTGGTTGATTTTTTTTTTTTTGAGACAGGGTCTCACTCTGTCAGCCAGGCTAGAGTGCAGTGGCATGATCATGGCTCACTGCAGCCTCAACTTCTTGGGCTCAAGCAATCTTCCCACCTCAGCCTCCCAAGTAGCTGGGACTACAGGCATGCACCACCACACCTAGCTACTTTTAAAATTTTTTGTAGACATAGGGTCTTCCTATGCTTCCCAGGCTGGTCTCAAATTCCCGGGCTCAAGCAATCCTCCCACCTTGGCCTCCCAAAGTGCTGGAATTACAGGCATGAGCCACCGCACCCAGCCAATTTTTTAAAAAAATCCAAATTATAACCACAAATAAGTTGATGGCAGGAATAAGGCAGGTAATTTTGCAAGCAAAGCTAATTAGCTACTGTACCCAGTGAACCCATGAGTGCAGCATGGCTGCCCTGCACTCGTGATGGATCTTGTCAGCATTAATTTTATGTCTGCCTGAACTGTCTCCCTGCATCTGAGAGGGCCTGACACCCTTTCATCAAGCTTACACTGACACTGCAGAAATGGTGGGGAGGGGAGGCAAGGCAGGACTTCCTAACTCATTACAGGTTAAAGCAGGGCATCATGCCTGTTTTCCCAAGTTCCCACAATGACAGGAAGGGAAGCTTGGTCCACACTGCCTCACATTTTTATGAGAGAACTGAGATGTGTCAGAGGAATTTCTACTGTATTCCTGCCTACTGAGGAGCTATTTAATCCCATTATTATAAAATAAATAATCCGCTCTTTGACTTTAGATTAATATATTTGTGAAATGCTGTTTTTTTCATTTTGCAACTTTTTAAACATTTAAACATTATAAAAATAGAAGTTATCATCTAACAAGAGCTCACTAAATGCCAAGCACCTACCCAGCACATTACCCTCCTCATCTCATTCAATGCTCACGATGATCCTACAAGGTAGAAGCTATCATTATTCCCATTTTATAGAGGCTGAAGCCAAGTTTGAAACTGGTTAGGGTCATTGCTCAAAGTTGTCTAGTCGCTAGGTGTTGGGGGAGGGGGATTCAAGCCCGTGCAGTGTGGCCCAGAACCAATGTCCACACGGAGAGATTTAAAACGACCCTGGGGGGAAACGGAAAAAGGAAATGCAGATGAGCACCTACTATGTGCCGGCTGCTACATGAGGTTCTGTCCTATACATGATCCCATTTATTCCCCACTATAATTCTCTTGAGATAGGTGTGGACAGACCCATTCACAGGTGAGAAACTGAGGCTCAGAAAAGACAAGCAACTCGCCCAAGGTGCCATAACTGGATCATCGTCTCAGACCCAGGTGCCCTGACCCCAGAACCCAATGCCTTCTAGGCTATAGTCAGCACCAAACCCCAGCCTGGCTTACCCCAGCCTGGCTTACACGCTGTCACAGACACTGCTCCTTGTGCCTTAAACCCATTCTCCCTGTGACCTGTAACTGAACACACAGCCAGCAGGATAAAGGCCACAGCTCCCAGCCTCCCTTGCAGCTACACGTGGCCAGGCAACCACGCTCTGCTCAATGGGATGTGTGGAGAACTTCCAAGCAGTGCCCTCGGGAGGAAGGGTGTGGCTCTCCTTCCCCTTTAAGTCTTCTGGTTGACCAGAGTGAGTAGGAGGTGAAAAACCAGCCTGGTCCATGAGGACCAAGGCAGCAGAGCACCCTAGAGAAGGTGGGAACAGGTGCAGAAGGAGCTGAGGCCCCATCCACCAAGGAGCCACCACACCCATTCTAGACTAGCACACCAGATTTGTGATGTGAGAAGCCTGTTTCTATCTTGTGTGAGTCACTATTGAGTCTGTGAAAACAGCCCAATGCACACACCTATTAGAACACACAGAGGCCAGTTTTGAAGTCAGAGCAAGTGCAGCATCTGAGGCAGCAGATGCCCCATCAGCAGGGGTTGCTTCCCTTTGAGACAGGCTGTAGTGACTAAGCCCACAGCTCTACCTGCTGTTACAGACTTGACACTTGTCCTTGGTTAAGCTTAGCTGCTCTCACTTCAGCTAGGCCCCAAGGATTCACGGGCTGATGCTACTCCGTTGGCACTGCCAGTCCCAGCCAAGCCAAGGCTCTGCTGCATGTGGGCACCACAGAGGCCCCTCCACCCTCCTTGCCTCCATCCTCACCCAGCCCCTCCCCTGCCATTGGCCATTCCCCGCACAGCTGGCTCAGTGAGCTCCTCAGAGGGACCTGGACCTTGCTGTCTGCAAAGCTCCCCATCAAGCTTGCACTTAAGCCTCAACCCCTTATGGTGGCCTCCAAGGCCCTTCCAGATCTGGCCCTGCCCATCCTGCAACCTCACCTCCTACATCACCTCCACTGGCCAATGAAATGAACAGTCCCAGAAACTGCCAAGAGAATGCCCTGCTCCTTCCAGTTTCCCACGCCTACTGTTTCTGGGCTACTATCCCTGAGGTCTTCCTTGGGTACAGGAGGATACAGGAAGCCCATCCTTACTGGGCCTACTTTAGCCCTCCTGCATCCCACTCTCACCTCCCAGACACTGCTACAGAAGGACAGGCTCTTCCCAGAGCCCTGGCCGGGACTCACCTCTATCACTGTAGTCATCTACAAGGATCACTTCTTCTAGCAGGATATCCGGGGATGTCTCAAGGACACTGTAAACTGTCCGAAGGAGAGTTGACCAGGCTTCATTATAAAATGCTATGATAACAGATGTCCTGGGCAAATTATCATAATCATATTTCTTCTCTTTGCACCTGCAAATACAGCGGAACTTCAGGAACTCAGGATCTAGCCCAGGCTGGCACTGGGGATGGAGTGACAAAGGGGACATAGGTCATGGTCCCCTGCGGAAGGGGACATAATCCACTGAAGGATCTTCCAGAGCTCCCCTTGTGGCACTAGGAGCCCCAGCAGACTCCAAGAAAGGTCCTAACCATGGCACCCACCTAGCTTTTACTGTGGGATATTGTTTTAAGCTGTCAAGCAACTTTTTGATTTGAGCAACATACAAACGAGACAGAATCAGAAGGAAGGGAACTGGCACGTCTTCCTTCCCCATCGCCCTCCTTTCTGTCTACTCTGCCCCAGTCTCACTCCCAGGCCTTTGCTCAGACTGTTCCCTCTGCCTGGAATGCCCCTTCCTCCCTTCTGTACTTGGCAAGCTCCCAGCTCAGGCCTGTTCTCCTTTGTGAAACGCCTGGGACCACGTATCTTGGGCAGTTGCTGTCTCCTCAATGCTCCTCCAGCACCCGGCCCACCTCCATCTCAGCATGCACCACTGACAGTATTCTGAGTCCTCATGTACCACTGTACCACTCCCTACCCTCTCCCAGCATCCAATACTGTCTAGGCTTAGCAAAGGTGGTGTCCCAAATGCATAAACTAGAATTGTGGCTAGGACCTACAGACACTCCAGGAAGGACTCTACAGAGGACATTGGTTACCTCCCCCAAATCCCCGCTGCCACCTGCCCCCCAAGATGTGGTAGTCATGTGGTGGGGTGGGGCTGAGCCCACCCAACTCCAGCAGTGGGCCTGACTGGCAGTGATTAGAACCAATAAGCTCCCTCTTTGTTTAGCAATTTGCCGTCACTTTGAACTGAAGGTTCCCTGGTTGACACAGAATTCTATCCTGAGTGACATGACAAATTCCCAGTGTCACGGGACTGACTAAGGGGCAGTGCCTGGAGACTATCAGTGGGAAGTAGCTGATGGGAAGGTGGGAGAGTGAAACCACAGGGATACCAGAAGGGACAAAGTTTGAATGCTGGGGGCTGGCCAAGGCTAGGCCAAGAGATCAGCTAGATACTCAAGAAGGGGGTGAAATGCTGGAGACCAGCTAGGCTCCCTGGGTTGCTAAGGCAAGGCCTTCCCAGATTAGTTAAGTGACAGATCAAAGAGGACAGGAGAAAAGATGCCAAACTAGGCAGGAGGAGGAGGGAAACTGACATCTGCTGTCTACCATATGTCAGCATGTGCTACTGGGCCCTTTATCAGTCAGTCACCAAAAACTTCCCGAGCACCTACCGCATGTCAGATAGGCCAGGCCCCTGCTCCCATGCAGCTCATATTCAGGGGGACAGTAATCAACTAAACAAACAAATCAGGAATTACAGAAAGTGATTGTGCTATGGAAAATGGAAAGGAGAGTGATGAAAGAGAACAACTTTGAAACTATGAAAATGAAAAGCAGAGGAGTGGGGAGGGGGAAGGAGAGCAACTATAGGACAGGTAATCTGGGAGGGGCACTTAGAGGAAGTGACATTTAGGATGAGACCTGAATGATGAACCCCATGAAAAGTCAGGGAAGAGCCCTTAGCATACAAAAGTATTTGTTTTTTCCTCTTTTATTTTACTATTAGAAATTTCTTTCTTTTTTTTTTTTTGAGATGGAGTCTCGCTCTGTTGCCCAGGCTGGAGTGCGGTGGCACGATCTCGGCTCACTGCAAGCTCTGCCTCCCGGGTTCATGCCATTCTCCCACCTCAGCCTCCTGAGTAGCTGGGACTACAAGTGCCTGCCACCACACCCGGCTAATTTTGTTTTTGTATTTTTAGTAGAGACGGTGTTTCACCATGTTAGCCAGGATGGTCTCAATCTCCTGACCTTGTGATCCGCCCACCTCGGCCTCCCAAAGTGCTGGGATTACAGGTGTGAGCCACCGCGCCTGGCCAGAAATTTCAACATTAAAAAAGCAGAACAGGGCCGGGCATGATGGCTCATGCCTGTAATCCCAGCACTTTCAGAGGCTGAGGCCGGCAGATCACTTGAGGCCAGGAGTTCGAGACCAGCCTGACCAACATGGTGAAACTCCATCTCTACTAAAAATACAAAAATTAGCCGGGCATGATGGCACACGCCTATAACCTCAGCTACTCAGGGAGCTGAGGCATGAGCATCACTTGAACCCCAGGAGATGGAGGTTGTAGTGAGCCTAGATCGTGCCACTGTACTCTTGATTCATCTGTGTCAACACCACTCCCTCTGCCCCAGATTATTTCTAAAGAAAATCCAGCATACTGTAGCATCCAAAAATAGTTCGATATGTGTCTCTAACAGGTAAGGACTCTTTTTTAATAAGCATAGTATTTTTGTCATACCTTAGAAAATTACCTTTGTGCTCCAGTCTACAGTATTTCAACAAAGTTAAGCAGCCCTGGGTTGGAAGACACGACATTCTTTAATGAACCAATAAGAAGAGATACAATCCCACACCCGTCAAAATGGCTATTATTAAAAAGTCAAGAAACAACAGATGCTGGCAAGGTTGTGGAGAAAGAGGAAAGCTTTTACACTGTTGTTGGGAGTGTAAATTAGTTCAATCATTGTGGAAAAGAGTGTGGCGATTCCTCAAAGACCTAGAGGCAGAAATGCCATTTGACCCAGCAATCCCATTACTGGGTACACACCCAATGGAATAAAAATCATTCTATTATAAAGATACATGCACGCGCATGTTCATTGCTGTACTATTCACAATAGCAAAGACATGGACTCAACCTAAATGCCCATCAATGATAGACTGGATAAAGAAAATGTGGTATATATGTAGACCACGGAATGCTATGCAGCTATAAAAAGGAATGAGATTATGTCCTTTGCAAGGACATGGATGGAGCTAGAAGCCATCATCCTCAGCAAACTAATGCAGGAACAGAAAACCAAATACCACATGTTCTCACTTTTAAGTGAGAACTGAATTATGAGAACACATGGACACATGGAGTGGAACAACACACACTGGGGCCTGTCGTCGGGGGTGGGAGGAGGGAGAGTATCAGGAAGAATAGCTAATGCATGCTGGGCTTAATACCTAGGTGATGAGATGATCTGTACAACAAACAACCATGGCACACGTTTACCTATGTAACAAACCTGTATATCCTGCACATGTACCTATAAACTTAAAACCTGGGGGGAAAAAAAGACAAGTGCTACCTGGCATAATGGTAAGATGCATTGATTTTTAAGACACATGCTAATTTTAGAAATGTTGAAATGTGGGAAAAAAATGTGCCTCTGAATTGATGACATGTAGTACTTCATTTTACCTTCAAAACCACTTCCTATGTTAGCATTTATTGCTCCCACGTTAAAGGCTAAGAAAGGTAGAGTGACTTGGTCAGTTCACAGAGCACCTGCTAGTATGTACTGGGCTGAGATCTTTGTGTCCAGGGATCTTGTTGCAAGGTTCTGGCTTGTTCCTTCTACCCAACAGGAGGCTCAGGTGGGCCATCTGAATCTAAAGATCCCTGTATCACATCTCCCCACCTGGCCTTCCCTCCTACCAAGACAAGGACAATTACTCTTCTCCTTCTCGGGGTCCAGGGTCCTCTTCCCTGGAATGAGTTCTAGGTCCCTCTTCCTAATGCCAGGACAGCCTCTACAGCAAGTTCCAAGGCTCCCTGGCAGTGGCCTTGCTCTGCTGTCACTGGGATGATTTCCCTTCAGCTGTGAACAGGCTTATCTGAGAATCTCTGATAGGGGCTGGCTGTTCTCAGTCAGCTTTATATACTCATCCTGGCTGCATCAGGAGGCCCTGCTCTGGGCACTTGAGAAAAGGTCAGCCCAGGCTGGAAGCATGAAAGCTCTGGTGTTGTGAAGCCACTGGGCATCCCCACCAGCACCTAGCCAGCCAGGAGCCGAATCCCCAGACACCATAGGCTTTCAACTCATGCAAGTAGTTAACTTAGCACTGACCCCGTGGAAGGCTTTGTGCTCCAGAGAAGGGAGCCTGGTCCACATTCAAGGGGAGGAGAATGCGGCTCCATCTCTTAGACAGAGGCTATCAAAGAATTTGTGGATATATTTTAAAACCACCACACATGAAATGCAGGAGAAACAGTATGTGACTTCCAAGACTACATCATAAAACATTGAGGATTCCTCTTGTTTCCTCAATGGAAGGTATCATCCATTCTGGAGAAAGCCGGCTGCCATGTTGTGAGGATACTCAAGCAGCCCTATGGAGGAGTCTATGTGGCAAGCAACTGACACTTCCTGCCAACAGCCAGTACAATCTTTCCAGCCACGTGAATGAGCCATTTTGGAATCAGAACCTCCAGCCCCACCCAATTATGCCTTCAGGGGATCAAAGTCCCAAGTGACATCTTGGCTATAATCTCAAGAGAGATTCCAAGTCAGAACCACCCAGTTAAGCTACTCCTAAATTCCTAGTCCATAGAAACTATGTGAAATAACAAGTGTTTATTGCTATTTTAAGCCACTAAATTTTGCAGTAATACATACCATAAAATAAATCACAAAGAAAGTGTCTGACAGACCCAAACTGAGACATTTTATAAACCAACGGGTCTTTACTCTTCAAAAATGTCAACGTCATAACAGACCATGAGAGACTGAGGAACTGTTCCCGACTGAGTGAGGCTAAAGAGGCACAGCAATGGCCTGATTAAAGTGTCACACCTGATTCTTGCTTAGATACTAGATTAGGAAGGAAAAATCTTGCTATAAAAGTTGGGACAGCTGGCCAGGTGTGGTGGCTCACACCTGTAATCCCAGCACTTTGGAAGGCCGAGGCCGGCAGATGACCTGAGGTCAGGAGTTCGAGACAAGCCTGACCAACGTGGCGAAACCCCATCTCTACTAAAAATACAAAAAAATTAGCCGGGCATGGCGGCGCCTGCCTGTAATCCCAGCTACTCAGGAGGCTGAGGCAGGAGAATGGCTTGAACCCGGGGGGCGGAGGTTGCAGTCAGCCAAGATAGCACCATTGCACTCCAGACTGGGCAACAGAGCGAGACTTCGTCTAAAAAAAAAAAAATAATAAGTTGGGACAGCTATAGACATCCGATATTGGATAAATATTCTGGACTTGATATTATATCATGGTATCATGAGAGAATGTCTTTGTTCTTTGAAAATACATGCTGAAGTAGAGACAGGTAAAGAACTGTTATTTCTATAACTTACTCTCAAATGTATATAATATTATAGTAGACATACAGAAAGAGAAAAAGTGATTAAATGGGCCAAAACAATAATGGGTGGATCTAGGTGGAGGATTTATAGAAGTTTGTTATGCTGGTGTGTCATAAATTTTCTCCAGGTTTAAATTTTTCCAAATTAAAACTTTAATATAAAAAGAGGAAAAAAAGGTCCAATGTTGTGGACACATCCAAACACCAAGTCTATTCTGATCTATAGCTATGTAGCTCAATTTTAGTGGCCCTTACAAATGCCCTCCTCAATCTCATTATTTCTCATATCTACCAAAACATCCTCACTCTGGGCCGGGTGCAGTGGCTCATGCCTGTAATCTCAGCACTTTGGGAGGCTGAGGCGGGTGGATCACAAGGTCAGGAGTTCTAGACCAGCCTGACCAACATAGTGAAACCCCGTCTCTACTAAAAATACAAAAATTAGCAGAACGTGGTGGTGGGCACCTGTAGTCCCAGCTACTCCGGAGGCTGAGGCAGGAGAATCACTTGAACCTGGGAGGCGGAGGTTGCAGTGAGCCAAGATCGCGCCATTGCACTCCAGCCTGGGCAACAAGAGCAAAACTCCATCTCAAAAACAAACAAAACAAAACAAAAAAACAAAAAGAAACATCCCCCCTCCAACAAATACATGTTATAGCAAATGGAAAACATATGTGTGTGTATTATAAAAATATTAATAACTGCGTCTTCATTATTAAGCCCCTGAATACTAGACAAGATGCATAGAAAAGCTAGATTGTGTTGAGTTGTAGCTCACCAGGAGCCTCAGAAAGAATTAACCGCGAGGCTAGGCGCGGTAGCTCACACCTGTAATCCCAGCATTTTGAGAGGCCAAGGTGGGAGGATCGCTTGAGCCCAGGAGTTGGAGATCAGCCTGGGCAACATGGCAAAAACCTGTCTCTACCAAAAATACAAAAATTAGCTGGGCTGGGCACAGTGGCCCACGCCTGTAATCCCAGCACTTCGGGAGGCCGAGGCGGGTGAATCACGAGGTCAGGAGATCAAGACCATCCTGGCTAACAAGGTGAAACCCCGTCTCTACTAAAAAAATACAAAAAATTAGCCAGGCGTGGTGGCTGGTGCCTGTAGTCCCAGCTACTTGGGAGGCTGAGGCAGGAGAATGGCATGAACCCGGAAGGCAGAGCTTGCAGTGAGCCGAGATCAGGGGCCACTGCACTCCAGCCTGGGCAACAGAGCAAGACTGTGTCTCAAAAAAAAAAAAAAAAAAAAAAATTAGCTGGACATGGTGGCACACACCTGTAGTCCCAGCTACTCAGGAGGCTGAGGTGGAAGGATGGTTTGAGTCAGGGAGGCGGGGGTGGCAGTGAGCTGAGATGGCGCCATTGCACTCCAGCCTGGGTGACAGAGCCAGATCCTGACTCAAAAAAAAAAAAAAAAAGTTAATTGCTTACACTACATGAAAAACAAAAGTGTTTCTGTGAAACCTAAAATAAATATTTTTTCTTAAGATGCTGCTAAAACTTTGTTTCAAACATGCACAAGTTCAAGAGAAATAATTGACAATAAGGACGGTGAAGTGAGGTTTTCAAAGTGAGGTGCATTCAATGTAGAGAACAATCCTTTAGTCTGAAATCACATCCTTAGTATTTTGGATGAAAATTTATTTCTTCTCTTGTCAGCCCTGCTTTTTTTTTTTTTTTCTTTTTTTAATGTGTTTCCACTAAAACCAATAGCCTAGGGCCACCATTCTAGAATGTCTAGGTGGGCTCTTCATTTGTGCCATCTAAATCACAAGAAGGCTGGGTGCCAATTTTTCAATTAATATTCAGAGCTTTAAAATGTTCCTCTTTTCTTTGATCTCATATCAACATACATAAACATTTCTTGCCTAAGTAAATAGTCAGAATACCCTGAAGGAGGCTTGTTGTAAAAATTTTTCTTTGTAACATTATTTATAATAGCAAAAAGCTGCAAACAATTTCAATGTCGAACAAGAAGAAAATATAGTATAGTATGGCTGCATGAGGAAATCATGGCCATGTATTTTCAGCACGCCTTGTACTTTACCTGGTAATAACAGTACCCTTTGTTGAGTGTTTACTACATGAGAGGCACCACGTAAAACAACAAAATAACATTTTTTAGAGAATATTTAATGATAAAGGAGAATGGTCACACTATAATGTTAAATCAAAAAGGCAGGATAGAAATCTACAGATAGCCAATTCTAGAAACAACAACGTGTATGTGAGCGCGTTCACGCATAAACAATAAACAATAGAAAGAAATATGCCAAAATGTTATCAATGGTGATCTCTAAGAAGTGAGATTATTGCTGATTCTTACTTTTTATATTTTTGTGCATTCTAAAATTGTCCTAAAATGAACATCTATAATTTTTATAATCACAAAGAAATATTATTTTTAAAAGATTAGATCATATTTCTTTAGTTCCTCACAGCAAATGCCTTCATTGAGCAATAATTTAATACTCTGCCCTTTCTCTTTTTCTTGTCCTGGTATAGTTTCTGTTTCTTTTTTGAAAACATCTCCTAAAGGCATTCTGTTTTATGAGGTTCAATACCAATGCCCCTTGACTTACGGTGGGGTTACATCCCAATAAACTCATCGTAAGTTGAAAACATTCTAAGTAGAAAATGCATTTAATACACCTAACCTACTGAACACCACAGCCTAGCCTAGTCTATCTTAAATGTGCTCAGAACACTTCCATTAGTCTATAGTTGGGCAAAATCATCTAACACAAATCTACTGTATAATAAAGTATTGGATACCTCATATAATTTACCAAATATGTACCAAAAGTGAAAACCAGGTTGGTTGCAATGGGTACTATGATAGAGTTGAAAAATCTTAAGTCAAACGATCTTAAATCGGAGATCGTCTGTATATCTTTTTGAAATGTCTTTAAGTTTGCTTCCAGAAAAAAACACTTTCTCCTTTTCCTGACTAATAAAAAGCTGTGCATCTTTTGATCATACAAAGACAGCTATGGATCACTTTAAGGTTCCACTTTTGCCTTGAGGACAAAAGGAAGCTCAGAACTGGATTTAATGCTACATCACAGCACACAATCATTTCCCTAAGTTTCTGGTATATTGCATGTGCTTTGTAAGGGCAGAGACTGAGCTGTGTTTGTCTCTGTATTTTCAGCACGCCTTGTACTTTACCTGGTAGTAACAGTACCATTTGTTGAGTGCTTAATACAGGAGAGGCACCATATAAGCATTTTATACACATTACTTCATGTAGCCTTCCTAACAACCCTACTGGGTAGGGACTACAATAATCTCTGCTGGTAGAATATTTACTTATTATATGGATATGAATGAATTAATGGATACAGTAAATGCCTCTTGATCTTCCTTTTTTTTTTTTTCACCCAGGCTGGAGTGCAGTGGTGGGATCTTGGCTCACTGCCACCTCTGCCTCCCAGGTTCAGGCAATTCTCCTGCCTCAGCCTCCCAAGTAGCTGGGATTACAGGTGTCCGCCACCATGCCTGGCTAATTTTTGTATTTTTAGTAAAGACGTGGTTTCGCCATTTTGGACAGGGCTGGTCTCGAACTCCTGACCTCAAGTGATCCGCCCTCCTTGGCCTCCTAAAGTTCTGGGATTACAGGCATGACCCACTGCACCCAGCCCCTCCTGATCTTCTTTTATCTTTATATTAAGGTTATCACATAAATGTCTTTTAAAAAAAATCAAATCATATCCTCTGTAGAAAAGGCCAAGGAGATCGTGATGTACATTTTTGTGTCTTACCTGCCTAGAATCCTTTCTCCTTTCTTCACTGTACACTGCATCTTGATTTCCCTTTCAAGAGCCAACCTTTTCCAATTCTCAGTCTATGTGGTTTGTGGAGGGCTGAACATACACAAGCACATGCATATACACACAGAGACACACAGACACACACCCCTACCCCTGGGAAGGTTACATGCCTCAGGCCTGACCAATCAATAATTTCGTGATGACATCAATTGAGTCCCTGAATCCAGGGCCCAGAATAACCTGAACTCAGTTCTCATCCCAGACTTTTCTATAATAGAACCCAATATATTTTCTTTTATATTTAAGGCAGTTTGCATTGGGCTTTCAGTTACTTTTAACCAAAAGAATCCTGTCTAGTGTAGAAAATAATTATTTTTAAAAAGTGAATATAGGACTTCTACTTCTGGCAACATGGAAGACTAAGATGTCTAGGGAAACACTCCTGGTATATACACCCAAAAAATCTTGATAAAAAGTTTTTTTTTTTTAAATCTCTTGGCTGGGCGCTGTGGCTCACACCCGTAATCCCAGCACTTTGAGAGGCCAAGGTAGGTGGATCACCTAAGGTCAGGAGTTCAAGACCAGCCTGACCAACATGGTGAAACCCCGTTTCTACTAAAAATACAAAAATTAGCAGGGCATGGTGGCAGGCGCCTATAATCCCAGCTACTAGGGAGAAGCTGAGGCAGAAGAATCACTTGAACCCAGGAGGTGGAGGTTGCAGTGAGCTGAGATCGCACCATTGCACTCCAGCCTGGGCAACAAGAGCAAAACTCCATCTCAAAAAAAAAAAAATTTTTTAAATGGATGGCTTAGCCGACAGGAAAGTAAAAGAAGTCTTCTTCATGAAGGAACAACAAGAAAACACTAATCTAGATAACATAATTACCAGACATAGAGTATAAAATAAGTATGCTTAATATGCTTAAATAAAAGAAGACCTCAAATGAATGACAAAGAAACAAGAATGACAGAGAGATCTGGGTCACTGTAGGCATCTCATAGCAATGGTGCAAACCAGATGACAAGGGAATAATACCTTCAAATGTCAAACTACCAATGTAGAATTATATACCCAGCAAAACTTTCATGAACAAGAGCAAAATAAAAACATTTTCAGATAAAGAAAACTGAGGACTAACAATAGACCTCTCTACAGCAATTAATACATGATGTATTTCAGGAAGAAGGAGAAGAATCCCAGAAAGGTCTCTGACTCAGGAAAGAATAGTGAGCAGAGAAAATGGTAAACTTGTGGATAAATCTGAACAAATAAATACTGCATTTTTAGCTATTCTAATTTGTTGGTTTAAAAGCAAGACAGAATTAAAATATTGGAGCAAAATGGCATACAAATTAGGAGAGAAGATGATCAATACTAAAGCATTCTATGGTCCATAGTTAATATTTAATTTTAGACTTTGTTGAGTTAAATATGTACTTTAAAATTTACCACTAAGGTTAGAAATAGATAATATAACTACTAAATTAGTAGAGAGGAAAAAAATGGAATGAGGGGAAAAGCCTCTATCGACTCAAAAAGCAGTAGGAAAAAAGAGGGGGAAAACACCAAAAAAGCATAACAAATGAAAACATAAAATAAGACAGCACTATCAAATCCAAAAGCATCAGTAAGCACAATAAATGTAAGTGGATATAACTATCTTGTTAAAAGTTAATGATTGTCAGTTTGGATTTTTCTTTTTAAATGGAGTCTTGTTCTGTCGCCCAGGCTGGAGTACAGTGGTGCAATCTTGGCTCACTGCAACCTCCAGCCTCCTGGGTTCAAGTAATTCTCCTGCCTCAGCCTCCCAAGTAGCTGGGACTACAGACACCCACCACCACGCCCAGCTAATTTTTCTATTTTTAGTACAGACAGGTTTTCACCATGTTGGCCAGGCTAATCTCGAACTCCTGACCTCAAGTGATCCACCCACCTCGGCCTTCCAAAGTGTTGAGATTATAGGCGTGAGCCACCACTCCTGGCCTGGATTTTTTTTTAATGACAACACAAAATCGAGCAACATACTATTCAAAGACACACCAAAAACATATGGACACAGAATGAGTGAAAGAAAAAGGTATCAGGAAAATACTAACCGAAATTGAACATGTTCTGTGGATTTGAAGTACTGGAGTACTGACTCAAGAAAGAATGCCACTCTGATGTTCTCAAGATGGATCTAATAAGAATTCATAAAATATCCACAACTTTGTTGGGGAAACAAAATAAACATCAGTCTAATGTCCTACTCCCTTCTGCAACCCTAGCAAGACATACTTTTGCTTAATTACCTGTTTAGAACCACTTTGAGGCTGGGCATGGTGGCTCACGCCTATAATCCCAGCACTTTGGGAGGCCAACACGGGCAGATCTCCTGAGGTCAGGAGTCTGAGACCAGCCTGGCCAACATAGTGAAACCCCGTGTCTACTAAAAATACAAAAATTAGCTGGGTGTGGTGGCGCTTGCCTATAATCCCAGCTACTCGGGAGGCTGAGGCAGGAGAATGGCTTGAACCCAGGAGGTGGAGGTTGCAGTGAGCCAAGATCGCACCATTGTACTCCAGCCTGGGCAACATAGCAAGACTCCATCTCAAAAAAAAAAAAAAAAAGAACGACTTCGAGACTCTTTGCCATCCCAGCACCCAAATCCTGACCCCTGAACTCAGACACACATCTGCAATTATAGTATTAACAAGCCTAAAACCAGAGCAAGTCAAGAAATAAAAACACCATGCTTTCCTTGACCAATGGTTCACAGTTCTTCTGCCCTGGTAGAGAATGGCTGGTGTTCACACATATGGGATTCCTGTCATAGATAGACCTGAAGAAATGTCCAGCCCTGAGGGCACTGTCTGTTACTCCACTCTCTCTTCTACTAAATATCAGAATGCAAATGAGAATGATGTTACAGTGATCATCTCAAGTTCCCCGTATTCTATGGAAACTAAAACTTTTTGCAAATTTTGGTACAACATTACTAATAACCATTTCCTTGTGACACACCACTCAGTTGACTATGATGTCATCACTGGCTTGAACTACATTTGACCTGTTATTAATCCTTACTTTCTCTAGTTCTGGTATTCTCCACACCCTCCAAAACACTCACCCTAAATCTTCTGACTCAGAAATCCACAGGCTCTAGGCCAGTAGCTTTCACCCGTGGTTGCATATCAGATTCAGCCTAGGTCCTAGCCACAGATATTCTGATTTCATTGTTTTGGGGAAGATTCCTGGCATCAATATATTTTTTAAAGTTCCCCAGGGCCACACACCCAACTATCTGTCTCCCCACTTTGACCCGCTATCATCTCAGAGTAAAAATTCACCTTCTTTGCTGAGATGCTAGTCATACTATACTACTATGCTTACTGACTTACTTACTATACTTATTTATATTAATATATATTAATACTTACTATGTTACCATGCAAGGAAGGATTCCTAGTCATCATTAGCCTCCTCTTCAATTCAGTGCTGTAACTAACAAAACTATACTCGAATCCACTGGCATGTAAATTATTAGATTCATAGAGGGGCCCAGGTCTATACTGGCTCTCACAGAATTAGGACCAGTACTCTAAAATGTCTTTTTAGTGGTCTGGCCTTCTTCAAGAAGGCAGACACAGTGCCACACCCTGCTGACACCAGGAAGAGTCAAACCAAGTGGTCCCTTAGTCATTCCCAACTCCTTTCCTCTGATAAAAGGCACTGCAGAGTAAAGACTTTCATTAAAAGTCTAGGAGGCACAGCAAAATGTTAACAATGGTTCTCCCTGAGTGGTAGGTTTATTGGGGATTTTCATTTTTTTCCTTTTCTGTTTCTCTGTGCATGCCAACATTTCTAGAGTGAATATGCATTGCTTTCATAATTAAAATAAACATAGAAATAATCATCCCCACCCAAAAAGGGAGGAACGAGTAACAGATATGGACTGTGGCTCTGCCTGAGATGTGCTATGTGACCTGGGGGTGTGGCTTTTCCTCTCTGGTTAGACTAGATGCTCCTCCCTCAGGGCCCTCCCTCCTGCAACATTCAAGGACCCTCATTATCCCTCTGTTTATTAGACTCGCAGAGAACCCCATACCCACACTGTGAACTTATGATCTGCCATTCAGGTTTCTCAGGCAAAATCTCAAGACCCTGATTAGCTCCTGGATGAACTGTAATAAAAGTGAGATGCCACAAAATACCCTGACCCTACTGACCACTCTGAAGTTACATCTCAAAGCCTGGCCCAACAGAGACCCACACAGCTCAGGCTCACCTTTCTCTCTGGCTGGGTAAGAATAACCCAACAGGCCTTGCTGCAGGAATTAGAAGCAGGAGGCATTCACACTCCTTATCATGCTGGGTTTGGCTTAACTTCCAGGGTCAATGCAACAGCAGGATCTACAAGCAAATCCTGAGAGGACACAGGGCAGCTGCGTCACCATGGAGACAGGTTACCATAAGCCCCACAGATTGTCCACAGTGTTTCAAAGAGATATTCACAACCTGCGACAATAAAGGAAGTTGGATCCAGGAAAGAAAAACTACAACCAATCCCTGGATGACTCTCAAAAGCAACCTCTTGAGTACATTCTTGGCAACAGGGAAAGGTGAAAAAACTAAGATTTAAGCACACAGTGTGCTCCCAGGTATTGATGCTTTATTAATTCCTAAGTTGTGTTCTTTCCACTCACTTTTATGTAGAATGCATGGAGACTCACTTTTATGAGTTTCCTATTTCGCAAACGAAGGGAAACCAAGGCTCTGAGAGGCTAAGCAGCTTGCCAGAGATCACAGAAGTGACGAGCAAAAGAACCAGGATTTTATCTCCCCTGGGCTGGATTTAATCTGAAGCTGGGTATAACCTGAAAGCTTCCCCTCCACCTTGCCTCAGCGGGCACCCTCGGGGTTTCGAGGAGCTAAACATGCGTTAGGCTGGTGAGTGGAGGAACTACTATCAATCCCAACAAAGTTTTATTCAAAAAGACTAACAGTGAAAAATGCCTCAGGCAGAAGCATGAGGCTAGGCATGAGGAGATCCCCAAAACAGGGAAGACAGTGGAAACAGTGGGGCAGAGGTGGGGCATCCTCATTCCATCATTCATGGTCTCTCTGGCCAAGGTACCATGGAGCAGGCCCCTAAAATCCTGAGATCAGCATGGTGCCAAGTGGGCCAGAAGGGCCATAGTCCCTCCAGACCAGTCCTACCACATTCCAGCTGAGGGGCCTTGGGTGGGTCACCTATCCTTTCCGAACCTATTTCCACACCTGTAAAGCAGGAATGGCTTGAAGGGGAGAGGAGTGGCAGGTGCCTGGTGCACACGGCAGGCTGCCACCACCAGCTCCAATGGGAACCCCCTCTCTGAGTCCTCTTTTCCTCAAAGTCTGTAAGGAAGGGGCTCAAAAAAGGACTTGGAAGATCCCTGACACTTCGAAGAAAAAGTGAGAGCCCGGGAGGCCCAGCGGCAAAGGTGGCAGCAGCCACCTGTCCTTCCTCCTGCTGCCAGCGTGTGCCCTGGATCCCCACCTAGGCAGGGGCGCAACCTGCCCAGCCAGTAGCTCCAACAGGAACTAGGCCTCTGACCACGCTGGCTCCAGTCCAGCACCACCCACAGGAGTGAGCTGGGGTGGATCACGGCCAGAAGGAGCCCTTCCCACCCCGTGCCCCTTCCCGCCTTCCTCCACCCAAAGCTCAGAAATCCAATGCCCAGGGAGAGCACAAGGAGGCTTTCTAGCGCTGAGGGGGCCTTACAGCCATCTTTCGCTTCACCTGTGGGGCGCTCCCTCGCATCTTGTTTGTCCCTTAGGCCCTGGCACACACAGAGAATGAATGGAGCCGGTCACCGCCCGGAGGAGTTGTCAGTTTCGCGGAGGCACTGCGAGGCGGGCAGAGCGGGGTTGTCCTTTGGGTGCTGGGGGGTCCTCGCCTTAAACCCTTCTGCTTAGCCCTGACCCTCACCTTTTCAGGGAGATGATAACTTCTCAAGGAGAAGGGAGCTAAGAGATCACTAACAGACTTGCCAATTTCTGGTAATTTTTTTTCTACTTTCGTCTTTTTTACTTTCTTGCCTCCCCGCCCCCATGTGAGCTCTTACACTATCGTCTTCGGAGAAAGACTCAATAAGACGCGCCATCCTGGAGACCCCAGCTCCCCGCCCTGCCACTGCTCTGATGGAGAAACTGAGGCCCGGGGCTCTGAGGGCGGGCTTCCTCCCCAGAGCTGTGCACTCACAGCGGGTTCCAGCGCTCGGGCAGGCGGCGGTGCAGTGAGATGCGGTCGCTGAGGTAGATGTTAATCTGGTGCAGCCGCACGCTCTCCTCCTGCAGCCGCAGCTCCTCGCCCTGCAGCTGCAGCCGCACCGCCTCGCCCCGCGCGCCCAGCGCGTTCGCCGGCACCGGCGGCCGCGGCATGACCGGCTCGCGCCGCCCGGGGCGCGGGGTGCGCGGGGGTCCCGGCTCGGCAGCCCCGGCCCCGGCCCCACGCTGCGCCCGCAGCACCGAGCCCAGCCCGGCCAACGCCAGTAGCGCCAGGAGCACCAACAGCGCCTCCCGGCCGCGCCGCAGTTCCCGCGGGCAGCGCCGCCGCGCCGTGCGCCCCCACATGCGCCCGCCAACTGCAGCCAGCGATCTGCGCGCCCCAAGGCGGCGGTGGAGGCCAGGACCCGGATCCCGGAACCGCCGTGCCGCCCCGCCCCCGGCCCGCCCCACCTGCGCGCCGCCCCCTTTCCGTCCAGCCCCGCGCCAGCCCAAGCGCAGCCCCCGGGGTGGCTCATTTCGGCAGGGTCTTCAAGTGGGCTGGCTGAGACTTGCATCTTCCTTCTTGGGCTATGGTGCATTATTAAAGAGATAGTGGTGGTAAAACCCTTAGCGCCTGGCATATTGTAGGCGCTAAGTGTTGGCTGAATACACCCTGCAGGGTGTTATGAATTCTACTGCCATTATCTCATCTGATCTTTACACAGTCCAATAAAACAACCATCAACTAGGATTACGAGCTCCCTTTTACAGATGAGGAGATGGAGGTGCGATGAGATCAACAGACACCACGCTGCCCCACTGACTTCTGCAGGCCCAGCCTCTGCCATACTCTTTGGAGTCCTTGAATAGCAAACCCTCGCCTGGCTCGCCTCGTGATAGCTCTGTGACCTCTGAGGCTAGGAGCAAAAGGCCATGAAGGCTGTACATGATAGTTCACACCTGTAATCCCAGGCCGAGATAGGAGGATCACTTGAAGCCAGGAGCTTAAAACGAGACTGGTCAACATAGCAAGACTCCCATCTCTACAGAAAAATTTCAGAATTAGCCATGCATGGTGGCACGTGCCTATAGTGCCAGCTACTCAGGATGCTGAAGCAGGAGGATTGTGTGAGCCCAGGAATTGGAGGTTACCGTGAACTATGCGCCACTGCGCTGCAGCCTGGATGACAAAGCGAGATCCTGTTTCTATTAAACAACAACCAAAAAAGGCCATGAAGCTGCCGCCCTGTTCATGAGATCACTGCTGTGGGAGCCTTGAGCTGCCAGGGACGAAGTAAGTCTAATGGAGTAGACAAATATTAAAAAGATAATTAGAATTGTGTTAAGTATTTTGAAGAAGAATTACAGGGCGCTAAAAGGGCTTAGAATAGTAGAACTTGATCTAGTTTGGGGGTTTTGGAAAGCTTCTCTGATGAAGTAATGTCTACACAGATATCTGAATGTAAAAGTGATAGCAGAGATTTCAAATCATATCTTAAATTAATCTGGAACTCCCTCTGCTGGTGTCTAGCTCAGGGAAAAGAATCATTCTGTATCCCCTGTAGAAGGATAGAGTGTAAGCTCTATTTGTTGTTGTTTGTTTTACCATGGGAAGTTGGTCCAAAGCTTTTTATCAAATATTCTCAAGGAGACCAGAAGCCCAGAAAGTTTAAAAAGCACAAATCTGGTCCAATTATCTCATTGATAAATGCGGGGTCTGAGACACAGGGTGGGGAGAGGACCTTGAACTTGGCGGCTCAGGTAGAGGTAGAATCTGACTTGCTGTTGTCTTCATACAGCCTTTGGCTACTGGTATCCCCAGAGGAAATCTCCCTCAGGTTGCAGGAGGGGGGTGGGTTTTGGGATGAACCATGCAAAGCAGCTCCCACTCAGGACAACCTGCTGCTAATATTAGACTAGAGGGAAGTGGCTCTTCCCACAGTGCTCAGGGCCCCGCCTGCTTCCCACGCAGAATGGAGGCTGCTGGTTAATGCCAGAAGGCGGTTGTGTTAGGTAGGTCTGGACCTGAGCCCTTTGGCCTCTGTTCAGACACCCAACACATTTAAGATCTGCGGTCAGATTAGAAAACAGACAAGGATTACAATTCATAATGTCTTGGATCCGCTTGCCAAATTGGAATGCTTCTCAATAGAGGTTCAGATACAGAGAAAAGAGAAATGCAATTAGGCCTTACAAGACATGGACTTAAGCCCCAGGTAACAGATAAAAGCTATTGTTTACTGAGCACACACTGTGTGCTGTAAACTGCTGGACTTTCTTTTTCATGTACTTTCTCATTTCACCCTATGACAACCTTGCAAGGTTGACAGATGAGAATATGTAGGCTCAAGAAGTGAAGCAACTTGCCCAAGGTTACACAACATGCAAGCGGTAGAGGGAGGATTTGTATCTGGGTCTCCTGACTCACAGTCCAGGATTTCCCACCACACCACTCACTGTTGGGCAGGCTGCAATGAGATGCAAAGGCAGCTTAGCTTAGGAGGTCGGAACACAACCTTGGAGCCCACTTGCCTGAGCTCAACCCAGCCCCATCACGAATTGCAGTGTGACCTCAGGCAAGTTGCTTTACTTATCTCGGCTCAATTTGCTCATCTATTAAATGGTGATCTAATGATAGCACCACCTGAACAGGGTTGTTGAGAAGATTGAGTGATACAGTCTGCACAGTCAGCCTCCCGGGGCACAAAACAGAGTGGAGAGAGTGTCAGTAAGGCAAAGGGAAGATGTCCAGCACCTTGCTGAGTGAAGTATGATATTTAGACCAGAAGCATTGGTACCACCTGGGAGCTTGTTGGAAATCTAGCATCTTTTCAACAGAGGTAAAGCCCTTGGGTTTATTGCTATTTTTAGGGGGCTTATCTGTTCACTAACAGTACCATGTTATGTCATCGGCTGCTCACCAACAAGTAGATATCTCTAGAAGATGCTTTTAATTTGTCATATTAGCTCTCTTCATAGGAGTTATTACATTCCTTTTAGAGTTTAATATGATCTATGGTAGATGTGGTATTTCAAATATTAGTGGGGAACATGTGCCTAATTCAAGTAATAATTGGGACAACTTGATAACCATTTGGAAAAAATTCAAATCAAGTCCCAACATCACACTTTACATCAAAATAAATTCCAAATGATCTGAAGATGCCACAGTAAATAAGCAAAAAAAGGAAGGAAGGAAGGAAGGGAAGGGAAGGAATTTAATTATAAAAGTATTGAATGAGAAAAACCAGAGACCATATGGAAAATATTTCTAAATGTGACTATATAAAAATTTTGAATTCTGTAAGGCTTCCAGTATAATACAAAGTCCAGAAACAAAAGGCAAGTCAGAAAGAGATATTTGCAGATGACATTTACCCAGTATGTGAATCAATAGGGAAATAAAGAGAACAAACAGAAATAAAAATGGTCAAAGGATTTAAATAGACAGTTCCCACCCAAAAGGATATAAATAGTTTATAAAAGTATGAAAATATGCTCGATCTCTCTAAAATACATACAAAATAAACCTACCCTGAAATATTTTTTCACCTATCAGACTGGCAAAAATGAAAATGGCTATTAATTCCAGTGTTGGCAAGGATGTGAAAAAACACTCTCATCCACTGTTGGTAGGAATGCAAACTAGTATAACCTTTTGGAAAGCAATTAGGCAACATTTATTAGAAATGTTAATATTAACATCTTTTTGATTTTGCAATTCCACATCTAGGAATCTATCCAACAAACATAGACTCGTAAGTGCTCAAAAGATATGCATACAAGGAAGCTTATGGCAGTATTGTATATAAAAGCAAAAAGTTGGAAACAATCCAAATTTCCATCAAGAGATTATAAAATAAAATATTGCACATCCGTACAATACCATAATATACCACAGTGCTATTTGCAAGCATGAGTTAGTTGTAGGCATTTAACATACACATGTGTTCAAGATGCATTGTAAAGAAAAGAGAAGCAAGTCGTGGAGCTATATGAATAGTATGATCCTATTTTTGTAAAATAATATATATTAACATATGAAAGGGGAAAAAATCTAAAGGAATATTTACCAAACCATTAACTATATTATATTTACTTCTGATGGGTGAGATTCTGTGGTCCTTTCACTTTTGTTCCATTTATTTGTTTTTTTTTCAACAAATATTTATTGATCACCTACCATCTGGGAGTCAGTGTGCTAGATTCTGGGGATTTGAGGTAAACAATATCCAAAGCCATTGATCTCAAGGAGTTTACATTCTATATTTCTACAACATCAGAATTCTTTAAAACAATCGTTACCTTATTAGGAAAAAAAAGACATTTAAAGTAAATATTGTACTCTTTCGAGATTATTTTACTTCTAAGCCTTCCTTATCTCCTGCCTAATCCACTCTGTCAGTCTGTGGTCCTCCTGTCCCCCTGCTCTCTCCTTCCAATATGTTTCCTCCTTTTTCCTACAACGACCTAGACCCCACCCATCATTTCTGCCCAACTTGTAGCCAAGCTCTGCCATGAAGCTGTCAGTGGCATCCTCCAAACTGTGACATCTTCCTTTGAATTGACGATGAAAACTCATAGACCCCACTGTTCTGCAGTCATGTGGGATTTCCTGGGAGCCATGAGGCCATGTTTCTATCATTCAACACACATAATGCCTAGCACACAGAAGGTATTTAGTAAATGCTGGCTGAGCCTGGTACCGTGGCACACACCTATAGTCCCAGCTACTCAGGAGGCTGAGGCAGAAAGATCACTGGAGCCCAGGAATTTGAAGCTGCAGTGCACCACGATGGTGTCTGTGAATAGCCTCTACACTCCAGCCTGGGCAATAAAGCAAGATACCATGCCTAAAAAATTCAAAATTAAGAAAAAATTTTAATTTAAAAAAGTTGGTTGAAAGGAATTGTGTTGGAAATGAGGTGCATTGCTCAGATTACCCTTTGGGAGAAACTTTTAGGGGAAACACGGTTGACTGCCAGCTCCCAGTGGCTATGCCTTTGGATCCTTTGTGGTATCCTCTGGCTACTCCCAGTCAGTGACCGAGCATGGTGTGGTACCAGAACCTGGCCACATCTGCATGATATAGGACACAACCCGTGCTTGGGAATCCCCCATCTGCCTGGCTGAGACTTTCCCTCGTCACTTCCCATTCTCCTTTCTCAAGTATCAGACCTGCATCATGGTCTGAGGGCTCCCCATCCCTTTTCCCCGACTTTCCCCTTTCCCTCTTTTTTTTTTTTTTTTTTTTGAGACGGAGTCTCACTCTGTCGCCCAGGCTGGAGTGCAGAGGTGTGATCTCTGCTCACTGCAACCTCCGCCTCCCAGGTTCCAGCGATTCTCATGCCTCAGCCTACCAAGTAGCTGGGATTAAAGGCACGCACCACCACACCTGGCTAATTTTTTTGGTATTGTAGTATAGATGGGGTTTCACCATGTTGGCCAGGCTGGTCTCAAACTCCTGACCTCAAGTGGTCCACCCATCTCGGCCTCCCAAAATGCTGGGATTACACACTTTCCCTCTTTGTCCTTTGTAGGTATTTTTCCCAGAAAACAAACAAACAAACAAACATCTAGGCATCTGATTCTTAGAGGATCCAAACCAACACAGGGACCAATGGAAAAAAAAAAAGGCTGGAAGAGAATTCATAAACAATAAGGCTATAGCTATACTTGCATAGAAAGATGTGCTGGATCTGTGCTTCACAAACTTTAATGTATGGTATGGTGAGTCACCTGGGGATCCTGTTGAAATGCTAGATCTGGTTAAGCAGGTCTGGTGTGGGCCCAAGATGCCACATTTCTAACAAGCTCCCTGGTGATACCAGTGCTGCTGGTCCAAGAACCCCAGATTGAGCAGCAAGGTGCTAGACATCGTCCATTTGTCCCTGCTGTTTCTCTTCACCCTGTTCTGTGCCCTGGAAGGCTGACTGCATGAACTATATCAGCAGGCTCCAAGACTCTAGCTTCCAGTAGGGTTTACTAATGAGGAGCACTGGCAGGAGATCAGAGGGCAGGAGGAGAGTGAGGTCAGAGGTTTTTATTCCTCTGAGGATAGCTCCCTACTGAGTTGCTGTGGGTTGGCTCTGTCCCTCTACCAAAGGCTGTAGCTCCTATCAGGTAGGTCTCTGCAATTTTTCTCTCTTGCAGAATTCCAGTACCTGCTCTCCCCTTTTCCCCTTCAGGCCTGGGATGGTAACAGCTCTGTACTATTACCAGCCCTGGAGTACTGCACCATCCCTTGTGGCTCTTAGTAAATCCTGCCTATACTTCTGTAAATGGTCCTTTAGTAAGCATTCCCCAGCTCCTCAGCCAAGTGTGCCATCTGTTTCCTGGTGGGACCCTGGCTGCTACAAGCGCTGTCCAATGCAGTATTTTTTATAAGAGCAGAAAACTGGAAACAAGCTAACTGTGCTTGTTTCTGTTTGTTTGTTTGTTTGTTTGTTTGAGAGTCTTGCTCTGTCACCCAGGCTGGAGTACAGTGGTGCAGTCTCAGCTCACTGTAACCTCTGCCTCTCAGGTTCAAGCGATTCTCGTGCCTCGGCCACCTAGGTAGCTGGGATTACAGGCATGTGCCACCACACCTGGCTATTTTTTTTTGTATTAGAGATGGGATTTCACCATGTTGGCCAGGCTGGTCTTGAACTCCTGGTCTCAAGCAATCCACCCCCCTTAACCTCCCAAAGTGCTGGGATTACAGGCATGAACCGCCATACTCGGCCTCAACTGTGCCTTATTCTAAAATGATTAAATGGGCTGGGAACAGTGGTTCATGCCTGTAATCCCAGCACTTTGGGAGGCCGAGGCGGGTGGATCACTTGAGGTCAGGAGTTCAAGACCAGCCTGGCCAACATGGCAAAACCCCGTCTCTACTAAAAATACAAAAATTAGCTTGGTGTGGTGGCGGGCATCTGTGATCCCAGCTACTCCATAGACTAAGGCAGGAGAATCGCTTGAACTCAGGAGGCAGAGGTTTCAGTGAGCCAAGATTGCACCACTGCACTCTAGCCTGGATGACAGAGTGAGACTCCATTTCAAAAAATATAAAATAGAAATAAAAATTAAATGATTAAATAAATTATGGTACGTCTGCTGAATGGTGTTTCATGCTATCATTTATTTATTTATTAAAATTTTTTTGGAGATGGAGTCTCGCTCTGTCGCTCAGGCTGGAGTGCAGTGGTGTGATCTCGGCTCACTGCAACCTCCACCTCCCAGGTTCAAGCAATTCTTCTGCCTCAGCCTCCCAAGTAGCTGGGACTACAGGCACATGCCACCATGCCTGGCTAATTTTTTTGTATTTTTAGTAGAGACAGGGTTTCACCGTGTTGCCCAGGCTGGTTTCAAACTCCTGAGCTCAGGCAATCCGACTGCCTCAGCCTCCCAAAGTGCTAGGATTGATTACAGGTATGAGCCACATCGCCGGGCCGCAATCATTTTTTTAAAATGCAGCAGTCTGTATTTACCTACATGGAAAGGTGCCCAAGACATTTGTTAATGGAAAAAGAAAAAAAAAAGCAAGATTCAAGAATAGCATGCGTAGTATGAACCCATTCATTTACAAAAAAAGTAAATTATCCATTTGTTAAGGCTTGGAATGCAAGTGACAACAATGCTGCTCAAAATAAACCTCACCAAAAAGAATGTGGGGAGGGATTTTCTAACTTAGTCTCTTTCTATCACTTGGTTTTGCTTTCTTTTGTGGTGACTTCACTCTTAGGCAGGCTGTCTTCAAGTGGTGGCAAAGTGAGCACCAGTTTGGCTGACATCCTGATAGCTGGCAACCTCAGCAGAGAGGGCCTCATTCTCAATTGCTTTAGCAAAAATCCTGGGCTGGGCTGGGCACAGTGGCTCATGCCTGTAATCCCAGCACTTTGGGAGGCTGAGGGAGGAAGATCACTTGAGGTCAGGAGTTTGAGGCCAGCCTGGACAACGTGGTGAAACCCCGTACCTACTAAAAATACAAAAATTAGCCGGGCATGGTGGTGGGTGCCTGTAATCCCAGCTACTCGGGAGGCTAACGCAGAGAATCACTTGAACCCAGGAGACAGAGGTTGCAGTTTGTGGGGTGCAATTGTGCCGCTGAACCTCAGCCTGGGAGAGAGAGTGGGACTCCGTCTCAAAAAAAAAAAAGTCCTGGGCTGAAGCCAATCAGGATATGTGCTAACCACTGAAGCACACAGACTGTGAGTAGGGAAGAAAGGCTTCCCAAAAGAAAAAGGGTGTCCAGAGGGAATATTTCATAGCAAACACTTGTTATCGTTTTTGACTGCCCAGCATCTGAACCCCCTTCCTACATTTGGGAGTGCCCTACCTTCTGAAGCAGAAACTACCTCCCGCTATTATATGAGCACATGACCCAAGTTGGGCCAGTCAGGCACTGTCACCTCAGCCTCTGAATCTGAAGCCAGGAACACCAAAAAGGGCCTGAACCAACCCCATCTTCCTACAGGGTGCAGCTGCGGCATGAGATTTGGGTCATTGTTCCTGGCTTTGGGGCCTCCAGAACTGGTTCTCAGGCTCTCATGGATCTGTGAGCTACAGAAGAACCTTGTACTAAATCCTGCAGCTTTTCCAGCACCTAAAACAGTGTCTGGAAATGGCAGGCACTCAATACATATTTGTTGAAAATGGAAAGAGAGTTGGACTCGATGTCAGAAGACCTGAGTCCTACTCACAGCTCTCCTGCAGAATAGTTGTGGAGTCTTTGGCAAGACACAACCTCTTTGTGCCTCGGTTGCCTCCTCTGCAACCTAGGGATGATCATCTGGGCCCTCCCCGGTGGATGGCAGGCGTGCAATGAAGATCAAACGTGGGTCTCCAACTTTAGCATGCATCAGAATCACCCAGAGGGCTTGTTAAAATATAGGTTGCTGAACCCACACCCAGAATTTCTGATTCAGTAGATCTTGGGTAGGGCCAGAAAAATCTGCGTTTGTAACAGTGTTGCAGCTGGTGATGGTGCTACTGCTGTGTGGGACACACTTCAAGGACCGCTGATAAAGAGAGAGAAGGTATTTCATTTTCTTTGTGACCATTGTAAATGAGGTTGTGTTCTTAATTTTGTTCTCAGCTAGAATGTTATTGGCATATCAAACTGCTATTGCTTTTTATACATTGATTTTCTGTCCTGAAACTTTACTGAATTTGTTTATCATTTCCAGGAGCCTTTTGGCAAACTCTGTAGGGTTTTCTATGTATAGATTCATACTCTCCGCAAAGACAGAGTGTTCGACTTTTTCTTTTCCTATTTGAATGCCTTTTATTTCTTTCTCTTACCTGGTTGTCTGGCTAGGACTTCCAGTACTATGTTGAATAGGAGTGGTGAGAGTCTTCTTCCAGCTTTTGCCTGTTTAATATGATGTTGGCTATGGGTTTGTCATAGATGGCTGTTATTATTTTGAGGTATGTTCCTTCAATGCCTAATCTGTTTTGAAGATTTTTATTATAAAGGGATGTTGGATTTTATTGAAGGCCTTTTCTGCATCTATTGAGATGATTATATGGTTTTTGTTTTTGATTCTGTTTATATGGTGAATCACATGTATTGATTTGCGCATGTTGAGCCAACCTTGCATTCCAGAAATAAAGCCTACTTGATCATGGTGAATTGACTTTTTGATGTGCTGCTGGATTCTGTTTGTAGTATGTCATTGAGGATTTTTGCAGCTATGTTTTTCAGGAATATTGGCCTGAAGTTTTCTTTTTTTCGTTGTGTCTCTGCAAAGGGCATGAACAGACACTTCTCAAAAGAAGACATACAGGCAGCCAACAAACATATGAAACAAATGCGCAACATCATTAATCATCAGAGAAATGCAAATCAAAACCACAATGAGATATCATCTACACCAGTCAGAATGTCAATTATTAAAAAGTCAAAAAACAATAGGTGCTGCTAAGGCTGTGGAGAAAATACACTGTTGGTGGGAATGCAAACTAGTTCAGCCACCGTGGAAAGCAGTTTGGAGATTTCTCAAAGAACTTAAAATAGAACTATTTGACCCAGCAAACCTACTACCAGGTATATACCCAAAGGAAAATAATTCATTCTATCAAAAAGACACCTGTATATTCATTGCAGTGCCATTTACAATAGCAAGGGTATGGAATCAACCTAAGTGCCCATCAACAGTAGATTGGATAAAGAACATGTGGTACAGAGCCAGATGTGATGGCTCACACCTGTAATCCTGGCACTTTGGGAGGCCACAGCAGGTGAATCACTTGAGCTCAGGACTTTGAGACCAGCCGGACAACATGGTAAAACCCTTTCTCAACCAAAAATACAAAAAATTAGCCGGGTGTGGTGGCACTTGCCTGCAGTCCTAGCTACTCGGTAGGCTGAGGTGGGAGGATTGCTTGAGCCTGGGAGGCAGAGGTTGTGGTGAGTAGAGATTGCACCATTGCACTCCAGCCTGGATGACAGAGCAAGACCCTGTCAAAAGAGAGAGAGAGAGAGAGAGAGAGAGGGAGAAAGGGAGGGAGGGAGGGAGGAAGGAAGGGGGATAGGGAGGGAGGGAGGGAAGAGAGGGAAGGAATGAAAGAAATGTGGTGCATATACACGATAGAATATGATGGAATACTACGGAATACTATGCAGCCATAAGAATGAACGAAATCATGCCCTTTGCAGCAACATGGATAAAGCTGGAGGCCATTATCCTAAGCGACCTAAAAAGAACAGAAAACCAAATACTGCATGTTCTCACTTATAAGTGGGAGCTAAACATTGAGTACACATGGACACAAAGATGGGAACAACAAACGCTGGGGATCGCTAGGCCAGGGAGGGATGGAGGGGACTCTGGGCTGAAGAACCTCTTGGTGGGTATTATGCTTACTGCCTGGGTGACGGGATCGTTGGGACCACAAGCTTCAGCGTCGCGCAATTTACCCATGTAACAATTTACCCATGTAACAAACCTGTACCCTTTAATCTATAATAATAGTTGAAATAAAAGGTGGGGGAGAGAGAGAGAACAGGAGGCGCTTTTAGCCCCAGCAGCCTGGCCCAGATGAAGGAGCGACATTAAGGGCACCGCAGGACACTGTGAGGAAACAATCCGTTCGTTCCTTAATTCAGCCGCTTCCTTATTCTAGAAGGGCAGGTTCAGTGCCAGGGGCTGCGGTGGGGTCAGCGGAGCCCGCTAGTAAAGTCAAGGCCCACGCAGCTGCGGACTCAGACCCGGGCCCAGGGCCCTGACCACAGCGTGAAGAGGGGATGGCGTGGCCGCTCCCACCTCTGCCCTGACAGGAAGTTTCTGGAGCCCCGGGACAGGGCGGCGAGAGGGCGCCGAAGAGGCAAAAGGGAACACGCGGGTCTGCGGCGGGCGCTCCTCTGAGCGTCCCTGGACTCCCGAATACGGGCACTGGAGGTGCGCAGCCCCGGCCCTAGCGCGCTCCCGGCACACAGCAGGCGCGCGGCCCTAGCCCCGGCGCGCTCCCGGCACACAGTAGGCGCGCGGCGCGGGCGGGTGGCCGGAAGGGGGCGCCTGCGGGCGGTATCCGGGGGCGGAGCCGACGCGGCCGGCGGGGCGGACGGGAGCGGGCCGCGCGTGGCGGCGGCGATGGGCGAGGGCGGGCTGCCCCCGGCCTTCCAGCTGCTGCTGCGCGCGTGTGACCAGGGCGACACGGAGACGGCGCGGCGGCTGCTGGAGCCGGGGGCGGCGGAGCCAGCCGAGCGCGGCGCGGAGCCGGAGGCGGGCGCGGAGCCGGCGGGGGCCGAGGTGGCCGGGCCCGGGGCCGCAGCGGCGGGGGCAGTCGGGGCTCCGGTGCCCGTGGATTGCTCGGACGAGGCGGGCAACACCGCACTGCAGTTCGCCGCGGCCGGGGGCCACGAACCGCTGGTGCGCTTCCTGCTGCGCCGCGGTGCCTCGGTCAACAGCCGCAACCACTACGGCTGGAGCGCGCTCATGCAGGCGGCCAGGTGAGGCGGCGGGGCCCGGGGGCCCGGGACCAGAGTGGTGCCCGGCGCTGGCCCGAGACGCGGTCCCCGGCGGCCGGATGCCCCGGGAGGTGAAGAGTTAAGGACTCCTTAGAGTTGGAATGGTAAACTTTGAGTAGTCTTTTGTAAACTTTGAGCATAGACGTGGAAACACTTTTGAATTAACATAAAATCAGATTCTTAGAAATTTTGGCCTTTCAGAATAGAATCTGGAGACAGCGAATAGAATTGTAGAGACTTAGAACCTTAGAGATTTAATTCATTTCTTATTGCAGTAAGAGTTTCCTCAGAACCTGCCTTCCCTTCCTGGCTTGGCGTTGAGGGTGCTGCGAGACCCAGGCAGAGTCCCCACCCAGGGCATTGGTGGGCAGGCCAGGCAAAGGAACGAGCTTGACCGGAAAGGTTTGAGTAGCTGTGGGGCAGGTGACCCATTTTGGAGACGTGGGGGAAGGTTTCTGGTAGAAAAGATGTTTATATCCACGTGGAGACCTGCGGATACCTGAGAATTAGCCAGGACATTACAAGTGGGCTGTGGGAAGGCATGATGGGAGGCCCATGCAAAGGCTTGGGTGCACGAGCTGGTAGGACTGGTAGAATGAGGTATGCGTAGAATGTATGAGTAGAATGATGTACTAGTCCTCCCTGGAGAGAAGGCAGATGCCAGGGAGTTGGGGGAGTGTGGGAGCTGAGAAACGCTAGCTATCCTAGGGTGCTAGGGAGTCATGGAAGGTGCTAGGGAGTCATGGAAGGTTCTAGGCAGAATGAGTGACAGGATGAGAGTTACGTTTTGGAAAAATTACTTTCCTTGAAGTGTGAGAATAGATTAGATACTCTAGGGTAAGCTAGAGTCAAAAAGGCTGGTTAGGTAGAGTTTGCTGCAGTCTGAGTGAGAGGTGATGGTGGCCTAGACCAGAATGGAGACAGCGGAGGGAGGGCACCCAGATGAATTTGTGATATATTCAGGGAGTAGATCAGCAGGAGTTGACGACTGGCCCTTGGGGAGGGGTTAAGAGAGACAGCAAGGATGGCATCTAGAGATCTGGCTTCTGTGAAGCCTGCCATGATATCTCCCTGTTCTCTGGTCCCTCCGCAGCAGAAAGGCCTCTGTGGTAGCATCCATCACACCATGTTAATGCTGACTGGCTTCCTCAGTACCCAAACCTGGCCACACATCAGAATCACCAGGATGCTTGTCTAAGTGCAGATTCCTGAGTTCCTTTTCTGGAGATTGTGATTTAGAAGGCCCAGGGCAGTGAGGGGAGTAAGAGACAGGGACTCTGTGTGAGAAGAGGCTCCCCAGTGATTCTCTTGTATGGTAGGTTTGGGAGCCACTGATGTGTTATGTGTGTCTCATCTCTGCAATCCACCAAGTGCGTGCACAGGGGCCCTGGTGAGCCCCCTGAGGAATTTACTGAGTGAGGTTTGTGACTACAGCACTGACATGCCTCAGAGTGTCTCAGAGACCCCAGATCATCAGTTTTAACCAAGTTCTGCAGGATAGTCTTGAGCCTGGGTATTTTAAAATGTGCTGTTCCTCAGTTGGTGTGACACCGACTCTATATTCAGGTAGCATCTCTGCCTGTGTTGAGTTGTGCTCCAGCTTTCTGCTGCGTAATTCATAAGAAAAGGTCAAGTTGAGGAGTAGTATATATGGAAGACTTCCAGAAGGATGTACAGTGTGTCTGTCCCTCACATCGGGGTAGGCAAATGAATGGCCTGTGTGCTGACACCTTCCAGCCTTGTGCTCTTCTTCCTTGGATCTGGATACGCCCCCAGAATCCTGCTCAAAACCACACCCCTGGCAGCCACCACGCTGGGTCTGAGCAAGCATCTATTTATCGTCCCAGCTCTCTGTGTGGATCAGGCCAGACTATTAGACACCCTGTGCCTTTGGTCTTTTGTGGGTGTTTTAGTATTAGAAATGGTGACCTTAGTGTTTTTTCCTGTTCTTTTTTTTTTTTTTTTTGAGACGGAGTCTCGCTCTGTCACCAGGCTGGAGTGCAGTGGCGTGATCTCGACTCACTGCAACCTCCGCCTCCTGGGTTCAAGCGATTCTCCTGTCTCAGCCTCCGGAGTAGCTGGGATTACAGTCACGTGCCACCACGCCCAGCTACTTTTTGTATTTTTAGTAGAGACCGGGTTTCACTGTGTTGGCCAGGCTGGTCTCAATCTCCTGATTTCGTGAAACGCCCACCTCGGCCTCCCAAAGTGCTGCGATTACAGGCGTGAGCCACCGCGCTGGGGCATGTTTTTTCATGTTCTTAAAATAATAGGTAACCTTTGGCCAGGTGCGGTGGCTCACGCCTGTAATCCCAGCACTTTGGGAGGCCGAGGCGGGCAGATCAGGAGGTCAGGAGATCGAGACCAGCCTGGCCAACATAGTGAAACCCTGTCTCTACTAAAAATACAAAAATTAGCTGGGCGTGGTGGCACGGGCATGGTGGCACGCACCTGTAGTCCCAGCTACTCGGGAGGCTGAGGCAGGAGAATCGCTTGAACCTGGGAGGCGGAGGTTGCAGTAAGCTGAGATCGCGCCACTGCACTCCAGCCTGGCGACAGAGCGAGACTCCATCTCAAAAAACCAGAACAAAACAAAACAAAAAACAACCTTTATTGAGCACTGACTTTCTGTCAAGCACTGTGCTAAGTGCTTTAAATGAATTAAGTCATTCAATCCATACAAAACCTTAGGAAGGAGGTACTATTGTCATCCTCATTTCATAAATGAGGAATTGAGGAACAGAGAAGTTAAATAACTTGCTCAAGTAACATAGCTACCAAGTGGCGAGTCAGATTCACACCTAGGGAGGTGGCTCCAGAGCCTGTGCTCCCAGCCATGAATCCTGTAACTGATAGTTTCCCTCTTGGTGTTGGTGCCTGGAAGCGGCTTGCCAAATTTGCCAGAGACTTCTCTCCAAGGGACAGGGTTGCATAGTGTTTACCTTCCTTCCCTACCCTTCATTTCCTGCCTGCCAGTGGGGCAGAGCTGGACTCTCAGCCCAGTGCTTTGAGAGGGGAAAATGTGTGCCAGCTCTTTAAACACAGGTGTTAATTGCTGAAATTCATCAGTAATCACAGCACCTGTTCAGAAAGCCCCTAGCATGCCCATCTCCGGCAGTTACCTATTAGAAACTTAGCATCCACAACATTATCTCAGCCTTGCTTGGATCCTTTTATATTTTCAGCATAGTTGAGTGCTCTCTTGGGCTACTCACTAATTCAGAAAACATTCCAAATTTCACTATTTCTGCTCTAATTCACCCCTTTTCTTCCTCCTTAAAAATTGGTTATACTGGAGCTTCGATTTTGAGTCCAGGTGCAACTTTTGACTCTATCACGTTCAAATTGAGAGGCTTTAGATTAATTGCTTTCCACTGTAATCTTCAGTTTCCTAATCTGTGAGTTTATCTCGGGGTTTATTAAGATCAAATGAGATAAAAATGTGACGCACCTTGTAATCTGCTGTTAGGGATTATGCTAGATTTTATCTCATGCTTGATAACTAAATAGTGTAATCTTTTAGAAATGTACTACAGTGGAGGATACACCAGTTCTTCAGGGATTTCCACTGCTCACCTCTGGACCTTCCCCTATGTGGTTATGCCATTTATGCATTCATTTACTTGGCTTGTTTGACCAAATTTACTGAGCTCCGATGTGGATCAGCCACTATGGTAGGGGCTGGGGAAACAATATGCGTGGAACCCTGTCCTGTCCTTGGAGAGCCTGCCACTGAATAGGAGAGACAATTAGGGAAAGAGGGCTCACGTGCAGCCAGAGGCGAGCCCGTGGAATTAGGTGCTCAGAAGAGGGGCACTGACCTAGCCTGGTTGAGGGGTGGTCTGGAAGCTGCTCAGAGTGGGTGAGATATGACTCCTGAAGCAGGACACGGTGGGGGTGTGCTGAGTAGATGAGGACAGGAGAGTCCTCTGGTGGGGTCAGGATGGTGAAGGTGTGGGGAAGGCGGGAAGGTGTGGTTTGGGAGCAGGAGGAAGTGAGGTTGGCAAAGCAGTCAGGTCTTCGGCAATCAGAAGCTGGGGAGTGACAGATTTGGGTTTGGAGAATATCATTTGGGAGTCGCATGGAGGATGGGCAGGAGGGAACGAGACTGGAGGCGGGGAGACATTGGGGTGCAGCTTTCTGCATTGAGTTGGTTTCAATTTGCCTTGTCCTTTTCCACTCTGGGAGTGGAGGTCAAGAGGCCCAGCCCCCTGCAGCTGATGGAGCTGTGTCACCAGGCTCTTGCTTCGTGGCTGAGTAGCCCCATGCTGTTCAGGTTCACATCCCAGAAGGTATTCAGCCGGAGCCTCAGACAGAGTTCAGCCCTGGCCTGGCCGCCAGCCGCCAGGAGGAGGGAGGTCTTGGGTTTAGATGAGGTGCAAAACTGGCTCCCGGGAAGGAGGGCTGAGCATCGAGAAACCCAGAAAGCTGCCTCACAGATGCAGACATGACAGTGGCTTTGTGGTCTCGAAAACCTGGAGTAGACAGCCCCTGTCTTGTCATTGTTTTCTTGTTAGTCCAGGGCCGCTTCCAGCTTGGAGATACACAGCTCCGAGCCCACCAGAGACACCACAAAACAGAACTTTTCTGCCCTCTGGTGTTAAAAGAAGGAAGAGATTTTGCTGGGAAGAGGTACCTGTTTTCCTTCTCCTGGTACTAGGAAGTTGGTGGGTGCAGATCTTTCTCTTCAGGGGCCCAGCAGTGACTTCATTGAGGAAGATCTGGCCTAGGCTGGGTCCTCAGCCGCCTGCAACAAACATTCCTGCCAGCAGGTGGCAGCAGGCCTCCAGGCCGCAATGCCCAGCCTATCTGCTGACCACAACCTTGCCACACCTCTTGGCATGGGGTGTGTGCTTTTGGGGATGGGGAGGGTAGAAATGAATCAGACATGGGCTCTGCCTGTGGGGAAATTAGAGCACAGGCAGAGAGACAGATTCCCAGGCTATAAAGCAGAATAAAATCGACTGTCTGAAATGTAGGAGGCAGCATGGTGTAAGAGAAAAAGCAAGGGCAGCGGCATTCACACAGACCTGTCCTGACCCTGATGCCACCCCTTACCAGCCGGGTAACCCTTGGCACGTTGAATAACGTAACATGAACAATTATAATACCTAACAATCGCTAACATTGATGTGATGTTTCCTGTGGCCAGGCACAGAGCCAGGTGCTTTACATGTAACTCATTTAATCCCCAACAACCCTTGAAGTAGGTACAGTTATATCCCCATTTTGCAGATCAGGAAATGAAGGCACAAAGAAATCAAAGTTCTTCCTAAAGGTCATGCAGCTGGTGGTGGGGAGAGCTGGATTTGAACCCAGGCAGGGCAGCTGCTCACCTTCATGATGATGCATCTGCATCCATGTGGCTGGCACAGTGCCTGGCGCCAGAATAAGACCTCTTATCATGAGCAGCTGTCAGGACTAATAATTCATGCCAATTAAGGATGACATAAGCTGGCCCCCGAGTGCTGTGTGTTCAGTGTCACTAATTCTCCATCTTCCTGGCAGATTTGGGCATGTGAGTGTGGCACACCTCCTGTTGGATCACGGGGCTGATGTCAATGCCCAGAACCGGCTGGGGGCCAGTGTGCTCACTGTGGCTTCTCGGGGCGGCCACCTGGGTGTGGTGAAGCTGCTCCTGGAAGCCGGTGCCTTTGTGGACCATCACCACCCTTCAGGCGAGCAACTGGGGTTGGGCGGCAGCAGGGATGAGCCCTTGGACATCACAGCCCTGATGGCTGCCATCCAGCACGGGCACGAGGCCGTGGTGCGTCTACTGATGGAGTGGGGCGCGGACCCCAACCACGCAGCCCGGACCGTGGGCTGGAGCCCGCTGATGCTGGCCGCACTCACTGGGCGGCTTGGAGTGGCCCAGCAGCTGGTGGAGAAGGGCGCCAACCCTGACCACCTCAGCGTGCTGGAGAAGACCGCCTTCGAGGTTGCACTGGACTGCAAGCACAGGGACCTTGTAGACTACCTGGACCCGCTGACCACCGTCAGGCCCAAAACAGGTCAGGCTGCATGCCCCCCGTGGCTTCACAGAGGACCCCAAATTGTGTTTATGTGGCTTAAGCTGAGGATTGCTCTACTGGAAGGACACGCAGAACTCAGAGTCCAGCCCTGCAGACCACTGAGACTGAGGAAGTGGTGTGCTTAAGTATCGGGGGGATTGCCTGTGACATGCAGGTTCTGGGCCCACTCTCTGCAGAGTGATTTGGTAGCCCTGGGCAAGAGCCTGGAAGCCTCTATAACAAGGCTGCTCTCCCCAAGCACATCATTCTGATGCAGGTGGTTCTGGGGCCCTTCTACAACAAGGTTTGGCAAACTTTTTCTGTAAAAGGCCAAATAGACTGTATGGACCATACAGTCTCTGTTAAAACTACAGTAGTCACTTCTGCTAGAGTGAAAGCAGCCTTACATATGTAATGAGTAAATGAATGGGTGTGGCTATGCATATAATATGTAAATGAGTCAGGTATGGCTAGGTTCCAATAAATTATAACTACAAAAACAAGCAGTGGGATATATTTGAGCCATGGGCTATAGTTTGCCAGCCCTTGTTCTACAATAGTGTGCCTGACCTCCTCTGCCCTGATCATTTCTCAAACACTAGTTCATGTAAAATTGATGAAAATTAGTTTTTTAAAAAACATCTAGCAGTGCATCTTTTTTTTTTTTTTTTTTTTAACTTCTTGCCATCTCTCTGGCATGTAAAGAGTTGTCTAAACAATCCTTAGCAAATCTGCCATAGGACATACCACGTTTCAAAACCTTTAATGCACGGTTTGCAATAAGATCGCAACACACAGCCTTGGTACCCTCTGTCTATGTAAAAGGCCTGACTTCGACGGCAGGACTCACAGCCAGGGAGTAACAGTAGGTGGGCTGCAGTGTATATAAACATCTAGCTCTGAGAGGTCAAGCACTGAAGAAAGTAGCTTCAGGCACATTGGCTAAAAAGACCTGAAAGTGTTAAGTTTGTTACCATTGAAAGAATATAGAATAGCCCCATCAATCAAGAGATGCTGAAAATTTGGTAAATGCTTATTAGAAATACACTCTCCAAAAAAAAAAAAAAAGAAATACACCATCCAATCAGAACAAGTCTGAAATAAACATGTTTTAAAAGCCTGTAATGACAGAGAGGTGGCAAAAATGAAGAGGATGCTCAAATGAAAAGGAAAAAGAAGTTTAGGAAGAACTACCTGAAGCCAAGAGACCTCTTACTTTGTCCAGGTGGGAAACTGAGGCCCAGAGAGGGAAGAAAGCTGGTCAAAGGTCACACACCCATTGGAAGCTGAGTGAGTGACACTCAGGAGGTGAGGATTCCATGGGAAGAGCACCTAGAGGTGATTCTCCCACCTGCAGCTCCTGCATGGGCTCTAGAAGCTGGTTTAACACATGACTCTTCTGAGCCTTTGCCTCATCTGTGAAATGGACACAATGACAACTACTACGGGGTGGTGGTGAGCAGAAGGCAGGTTATCCTCTGGCGTGTGAGATACTCAGCCCAGTAGAGTGTTAGGGACTCATAAAGGCTTGCTATTAGAAATTAGGGCCCCAGTCTCCTAGGACAGGGTTTTGTTTTGTTTTTGTTTTTGACACAAGGCCATTGCTCTCCTTTAAAGGTTTGGGTTGTTTGTGGCAGGGATGGGGAAAGGATCTGCCCTTCCCAGGCCCTGCCGTGCCCAGCACACCTGCCATGCTGAATCTCCCCTCACCCTCGCAGGGACCCTCTGAGGAGGGTATTCCCCCATTTTGCAGGGGAGGGAATTCAGGCTCAGAAGTGAACACTCCAGAACTTGCACCTGCCCGTGCCTGCCGAGCTGTGCCTCTTCTGTTGTGCATGCGTTCTCCATCCCAGGTTTCCTTAGCCTCTGCATCTTGAATCTTCACGGAGTGCCCTCGGGCTTAGCTTCTGACAGGCCTCATTTTAGGGGTTGTCCTGGCATCATGGGATGGCGATGCCCTCATTTCCCCAAGATGCAGTGGCTCAGACACATTGGTGGATGTGGCCAAGGTCACTGTCCACTTGGTTCGATGCTGGCTGTGCCCCTGCTGGCCAAGGGACCTTGAACCAGCTGCCTCAGTTCACCAAGCTCCCATTTCCTTCTCCACAAATGGGTGCTGGAGTGATACCCGCCTCAGGGCTGCTGTGGGGTTCATGTGAGATCCTGCCTGGCCCAGAGGGAGCACATGGGAAGTGGATTACTCCATAGTGTTGTCGGCGTTATTTGACAGGAGCGAACCTCGGGTCTTCCAGCAGGATCTGGTCATGTTCCCATTGAGCAGAACTAGTCTGAGGCTCAGTTCTCCCACTCTGTACCTGGGTGGTCTTGGTCATCTTAATTGGCCCTGCAGGACTACAGTGTCTTTTTTCATAAGATAGTCATAATAAAGGCTCTTTTCTTGGGAGATTTTTGTGAGGAATAGTAAGATCAGGCCTGTAAAATTTTCATCGCAGTGCCCTGGCACATAGACGACATCCAATAAATGGAAACTATTATGTTTTGATTGATGATACATTCATTCCGATACTTTACAAAGACGTACTGAGGCCTGCTATGTATCAGGCACCTTTCTAGGCACTTTGGATACATCAGTGAACAAATGAGATCCAAATCCCTGACCTTGAGGACCTTGGCCTTGATAAGGGGAGACAGGCAGTCAGTAGGAAATAAGCATATTAAATATATAGTAGGATAGGTGGTAAGTGCCACAGGGTTAAAAAAAAAAAAAAAAGGGCAGTGTAAAGAGGTTGGGTGTGGCAAAGCTGGGACAATTCATCCTGCTGTGTCAAATGGAGTGGTTGGGCAACCTTGAGAAGGTGGGACTGCAGCAGACATGCAGGACCTGAGGGAGTGTGTTGGCCCTGGGGGATCCCTGGGAAGAGCCCCAGGTAGGGTGCAGGCTGTGCTATTGATAATGACAGATTATGAAATAAATAATAGGAGCCCCAGCTCTTACTGTGCAGTTCCCGGAAATCCAGCCCCCACCAAGGCCTTGGAGGTCCCCTGGTCTCTGCCTTTCATTAGCAGCAGGACAGGGTACTTTTGATGCTGTAACTGTCATTGCGACACCTCTGACTCCCCACTGAGGTTGTGGTGTGGAGTTGGAGCTGATTTCTTTTCCTTGGGTTGGGGCAGGGTCCCTGGGACTGCTTGGATATAGACGAAAAAAACTGAAGCCCAAAGCGAGGAAGGGACCTGCCCAGAGTCACTGGGTGTCAGGACACAGCTGCCCCTGCCTCTTGGGGCCAGGCTCTGCTGTCAGTGATTAACTTGTGTCAGATGGTTGCTTAGCAGCCAACACTAAGACCAGGTGACACTCTTTTCTGTGAAAAGGTCTTGGCATGAGAAGACCCCACCCCACAGCAAAGTTGGTTCTTGAATACTTGAAAGAACATGACATATTTTTTTTAAAAGTCAGGTGCAGAATAGTTTCTTGATAGTATTTCACAGGCAAAATTGATATACTGTGTCCCATGGCAGTGTCCGTACTTTCCATGAAGAATTCTGGGATTCTGGCCAGGTGTGGTGGCTCACGCCTGTAATCCCAGCACTTTGGGAGGCGGAGGTGGGTGAATCACGAGGTCAGGAGTTCGAGACCAACCTGGCCAAGATGGTGAAACCCCATCTCTACTAAAAATACAAAAATTAGCCAGATGCGGTGGTGGGTGCCTGTAATCCCAGCTGTTCTGGAAGCAGAGGCAGGAGAATCGCTTGAACCCGGGAGGCAGAGGTTGCAGTGAGCCTAGATCTCACCACTGCCCTCTAGCCTGGGAGACACAGCAAGACTCCATCTCAAAAAAAAAAAAAAAACAATTCTGGAGTTCCGGCCTGGAGCGGTGGCTCACACCTGCAATCTCAGCAGTTTGGGAGGCCAAGGCGAGCAGATCACTTGAGGTCAGGAGTTTGAGACCAGCCTGGCCAACATGGCAAAACCCCGTCTCTACTAAAAATACAAAAATTAGCTGGGTGTAGTGGCGTGTGCCTGTCATCCCAGCTACTCGGGAGGCTGAGGCACAAGAGTCACTTGAACCCAGGAGGCAGAGGTTGCAGTGAGCCAAGATCACGCCACTGCACTCCAGCCTGGGTGACAGAGCGAGACTCCATCTCAAAAAAAGAATTCTGGGGTTTACCTTGCTGGTTGCTAAAGAAAGTAATTGCTCTTTGAATGGCGCCTTAACATTATCATTTGATCCCTGCAACAGCCAGGTGAGAGGGATGCTATCCCCACATTTGTGATGAAGAGGCAGCTTACTCTAAAAATGTGCGCTGAAATTCACGTGCACTGACTCCACACTCTGTGCTCCTTGTCCTGGGCTGCAGCTTCCTCCCAGTTACTCAAGAGGGCTCATTTCGACCAGAGTCAGCCCAGAGTCACAAGTGCCCTCTGGCAGCTGCTCCATCCCCTGGGATCAATTAAAGGCTGCAGAAGGCCTGCCTTCAGCCCCCCAGCAAGCAGACTGGCCATGAGGATGCCTGCTCTGACAGGAATGGGGTACCTGCTGGCCCAAGCTTGGAGGAAGGTGTGGGATGAGCATGTGAGGGAGGGGCTAACATCTGGCGGCTGCAGCAAGGCTCAGCTGTGCAGGTAGGCATGGGGTCCGGCCCCAGCCTAGCAGCTGGGCTTCAGGGTACAGCATGAAGATGCCCAGTTGGGCAGCGGCTTTTGGCCAGCTGTGTCTGCAGGTTTGGAGGAGGGAGCATGTTCTGATTGCTTCTTACATGGGAGGGAAAGAAAATATGAGCATTGGCTCTTCTGTTGGCTGTGGCTGTGAACTTCCTTAGAGCTCAGCTGCTCGATATCTCAGGGGTCCTCTGATTTGGAATTATGATTGTACATTTAGTTTTTAGAAGAAAAAAAATTTTTAAACAATGTCCATGGGAATCCAGGATTTTCTAAGACCCCAAGACTTTTCAGTATATCTAAGAAAGGATATGCCAACGTTTGTTTTGCCTAAAAATGATTGCTTTATTTGCATGAGATCAGGGCCGTGATCTGCTGCTCATTCGTGTTTTGTTGGCAAGATCTGTCTCTGAAGTGTTTTCAGATGTTCTTGGGTAATAAACCTTCCAGAAGAGCTGCTGGATTTGTCCATTACGTAGGTCTCCAATTAGATTGCTTTTGAGAATTAGATGCTTTTTAAAGCCAGGCTGTGTTGTTACACCCTTGTGACTTTTCTGTTATATTAAACCTTTCCGTGGTTAACTTTAAAAATCTTTGTTTACCCAGATGAGGAGAAAAGGCGACCTGATATTTTCCATGCATTGAAAATGGGTAAGCGCTTTAGAAAATCTTTTTGGATATTTAAGAATATAGGGCTACATTCTCCCAACCTAATATTTGTAGTCCTTTGCAGGGCCACCCAGGGTATTTGAGAAAGAAACAGGCATTTTGGTGTTTGGTGTTTGGAAGTTCAGATCCTGGAGGCCAGTATTTATTGTAGAGCTCTACACATAGACTCCAGACGGCCTCCAGCCCCACTCCAGCCAAACACTGTCTAGCTATGCCCTAGCTCTTCCTGCATCTGAAATGCCTCTCTGCATACCCACTCCAGTCTCTTTGTGACAAAGAGGCATTTAGCCTAAAATTTTCTCTCTTGATATAGACCCTGCTTCCAGGAAGCCCTTCCCGATCCTCACCCCGCAGCGAGACCTGAACTCTCCTTCTGTCTTCTTCTGTCTCCTTCATCCGTTCTCTGAAGACACTAACAACACTTCTGTCTTTTGGTAACACTTCTGCCCATTCGTGTGTTTGTCTCTGTCTCGCCTAGACTGAGGCATTTAAGAGTCGGGGCTATCTCTGACGCCCTCTTAGTATCCCCTATGATGCCCAGCAGCCCACTGCAGAGGCAGAGCAGGGCCAGCAAGTGTTTGTTACATGAACCACAGGAGAAATCAGCCTATGGTACCAGGCCCACAGTTCACCCGGACTCCTGCTTGTGTTTGCAGGAAACTTCCAGCTGGTCAAAGAGATTGCCGATGAAGACCCCAGCCACGTGAACTTGGTCAATGGGGACGGGGCGACGCCACTGATGCTAGCAGCTGTTACGGGGCAGCTGGCTCTGGTGCAGCTGCTGGTGGAGAGGCACGCGGATGTTGACAAGCAGGACAGCGTGCATGGCTGGACGGCCCTCATGCAGGCAACCTACCATGGGTCAGTGCCAGCCCCACGCCCTCAGCGACAAGGCCAGACAGATGCTCTGGCCTGAGATGGAGGTTCCCAATGGGCTCTTCTGGTCCTGAGATGCTGCATACAAACCCCAGGACTATGACGACATTGAGGCATGGAAAAAAAAAAAAAAAGCGGCACAGGCTCATTTTAGTCCCACCCTTCTGTGTCCAGATTTCCTGTTCCCCCATCACAGAATTTCACAATGGCCCTGAAAAACCATGCAGCAGGAGCATTTTATGCAGAGAGATAAGGTTCTCTAGGTTGGTTTCAGTTGAACACAGTGACTGATTCATTGGAGTTTTCACATTGAGATATAGTGACCTCCTTAAGTAGCTCCTGTATGAAGTAAACATTGGTTATTCATACCATTGTCGTCTTGTGATGATTGATGGTGAGATGTGTCCTACCCCTCTCCTTTTGAATAGGCTTCAGTGTTTACAGGGTGCTTATGAACCCCTTCTTATGTGATCATCCCAGCAGGATGGGCTGTCATCCTCCTGGAGGCCTCGTCTTTGGGGTGGGCATCTTGTAGCTGCTAAGTGATCTGACTCCCAGTTAGAGGTTCTTTCCTTGCCCTCTTTTAGGTGATCAGATCACTTTCCTGTGTCATCTGAAAACAGTTTGTTTTCTTATTCGATGAGTCTTGAATTCCAAGACGAAATTTTATTTCAGACACCTTGGTCTGTAGGAGACTTTCCCAATGGAGATGTCCTGATTTAGGGTGGAAGAAGTGGAGTCTCCATGGGGTCAGTGATTTTTGGGCAGAGCTGTTGGTTTTGTCTCCTCTCCCCTCCCCCTCCCCTCCCCTCCCCTTCCTTTTCCTTCCCTTCTCTTTTCTTTTCTTTTCTTTCCAACAGTATCTCACTTTGTTGCCAGACTGGAGTGCAGTAGCGTGATCATGGCTCACTGCTGCCTTGACCTCCCAGACTCAAGCATCCTCCAACCTCAGTCTCTCAAGTAGCTGGAACTACAGACTTGCACCACCACACCTAGCTAATTTTTAAACAAAATTTTTAGTAGAGACAGGGCCCCCCATGTTGCCCAGGCTGGTCTCAAATTCCTGGGCTCAAGTGATCCTCCCACCTTGGCTTCCCAAAGTGATGGGATTACGGGTGTGAGCCACCACATCTAGCCTCAGTCTTCATTTTGTTCCTGGAAGGAACACTTAGACTTTGATTTAAATCATGTTCCCGCTTGACCTGCCCACGTGCTAGGGAATGAGAGAATGTGAGACTGTTTGCCCTTCCATGTCCTTCTTAAATGCTCAGAGACTGAGCTTTGTAGTTAATGTTGGTTTTGTTGCCCAGGAGCAAAGCCATGCCTTTGCTTTCAGTGAATGTAACTCTAGCATTTTTTCCCAGGAATAAGGAAATTGTGAAATATCTGCTAAACCAAGGGGCCGATGTCACTCTTCGTGCAAAAAATGGATACACGGCCTTTGACCTGGTGATGCTGCTGAATGATCCCGGTAGGTAATTTCAAGAAAAGGGTTGTAAATCTACCCAGCGTTTCTTGGACTGGGAGTCAAGACAGGCACCTCCTCTGTGACTTGTGTTTTAAGCACTTGCTTATTCGTGGGGGAAAGTCACTCTCAAGTGTCAGGAGCTTACTGCATGATCTTAGGCAAGTTCCTTCCCTCCCCAGTGAAGCGCTGGACTTGGACCAGGTGGCCCCGGGGACTTCCTCCAGCACCAACCTCCTAGGAGTCTCTAGAGAGGGAAGGAAAATAAGACGTGTCTGACTTTGCAGTCCACACACACCCTAGAATGGCATCTGTGCTTCACAGCCAGAAATCCTGAGTCACTCAGGTGGAAACATAAAGTCCCCTTTGATAAGCAGAATGGGAGATAGAGCGATGGCCTTCTCAGCTTAATTGTGTAGGTAGAGGCTGCAGGGTCAAGGGTCGTGTACTGGGAATGTAGCCGTTAGTTCCACCCCATTTTGGCCTCGGCTGGTACCTGCTACTCCCCTTTGACCCTCCCCTGCTGTGACAGACCCTCTTTTGGGACCTGGGCTTCCAGTTAGCCAGCTCAAGGGGAAAGGTCTCTGATCTGTCGTCTTTCTTATCAACCTGGAGTTTCAACCCAGAGAGAGAGAAGCCCCGAGGCCCTTCTGACCCACTGGGCTTGAACCCTGTGCTGGGATTCTAGCTGTTGGCTGTGGGGAGAGAAGACTTTCACCTCTGCAGTCACAAGTCACCTGCTGCCCCTCTTAGCTAGAGGGGTAGCCAGCAGGCATGCCCTTCCTCGTCACAGCACTGCCACCCTTGCCACCCCTTCCCTGCTGCAGGCCCCTGCACTTCACAGATGCACACTTGGTTCTGTTTGACCCTCAAAGAGGTCTGAGAGGGGAAGCAGAGGTTCACATCCTCTTGAAGAGATGAGGTCGCCAAGACTCGGGAAGTGATCTGTCCCAGCCAGAGGGTTGGAGTCCTGTGCCCCAAGTCCAGTGATCCTACTCCACCTCATTGGAGACCTTCTTCACTTGCCAAGAGTTTGTTATTCGGAATCAGTCCGCAGCCACTCTCGCTGGATCTCATACACACTTTTTCTGAGAAACTCATCTTTTCAGTGTTCCTCTTCTCCCTAGCCTCCACTGCCGTTTATTCCCTTTCCCAATAAAACAGTCTATTCCTAGGAATATTTTGCCTACTGGGTTTTTAAATGAAGTGTTTACACAAAACTTTTGAAGAAACTCATGCCTATTATTGAATACTTGGAGAGAAAAAAGAAATAACCTGGCGTGGATGGCTCACGCCCATAATCCCAGCACTTTGGGAGGCTGAGGTGGGTCGATCACTTGAGGCCAGGGGTTCGAGACCAGCCTGGCCAACATGACGAAACCCCATCTCTACTAAAAATACAAAAATTAGCCAGGCATGATGGCGGGCACTGTAGCCCCAGCTACATGGGAGGCTGAGGCAAAGAACCGCTTGAACCTAGGAGGTGGAGGTTGCGGTGAGCCAAGATTGTGCCACTGCACTCCAGCCTGGGTGACAGAGCAAGACTCTGTCTCCAAAAAAAAAAAAAAAGAAATAGTCATCAAGAAAAAGCATTGTTAATAGTTTGGAGTAGTTTCTTCTCAATCTTTTTTGCAATGCTTTTTTTATATAACTGAGTTGGGTTCCTAATAACTTCATAATACTTAGTATTTTTAAAGCACTTGTATTGCTCTAAAGGAATTCCCGTGAATTGATAAGATACCTTTATGTGGTGGGTATTAATGTCACTGACTTGTACAGACGCACAAAGAGGCTTTGTAATTTACCTGCAGTTACACAGCCAGGGAGGGACAGAAGCAGAATCTGAACCTCTGCAGCCTGGCTGTGAAGCCTGCACTTTTAAACACACTGTCCCCCTGCCTTCCTCATGAGAGAGGACTTCCGGTTTTTCTTTCTGGTTAAGTAGGTTAAGCCCTGCTGGCTTTGTTTGCCACCTTTTGAAGATCAGATGGAGAGGCAGGTGCCTTGATTCTGGAATTACACAGACCCTGGAGCTGCAGGGCTGAGTTCTAAGTCTAACAGGGGTCATCTTGAGTCTTCTCCTTATGGCCCAACAGACATATTTGCAGGTAAAATGATGCCTTTTGTGTCCATAGACACGGAACTTGTTCGACTGCTGGCATCTGTCTGCATGCAGGTGAATAAAGACAAAGGCCGGCCGAGCCACCAGCCTCCCCTGCCCCACTCGAAGGTCCGACAGCCCTGGAGCATCCCAGTGCTGCCCGATGACAAGGGTGGACTGAAGGTTTGCCTTTTCCTGTCTTAAAGGGGCTTGGGGGCTAGGGAGATGGGGGCTGGCGGGGAGCCTGCTGCCTCCTATGCACCCAGGCTGGTTTATGCTAGGGAGTCCCTGCAGGGGTGGCAGGTGAGCTGGCATTGAGCAATAGGAAACAAAGGGGACCAGGAAAAACTGGGGAGACTGTGACCATGTTGTGGCAACAGTGGCTGCTTTGTAAGAATGTGGGTCCACGCGGCCGGGCACGGTGGCTCACGCCTGTAATCCCAGCACTTTGAGAGGCCAAGACGGGCGGATCACGAGGTCAGGAGATTGAGACCATCCTGGCTAACACGGTGAAACCCCGTCTCTACTAAAAATACAAAAATTAGCCGGGCATGGTGGCGCACGCCTGTAGTCCCAGCTACACGGGAGGCTGAGGCAGGAGAATGGCGTGAACCCGGGAGGCGGAGCTTGCAGTGAGTCGAGATCGCGCCACTGCACTCCAGCCTGGGCGACAGAGCGAAACTCCGTCTCAAAAAAAAAGAAAAAAGCTTGAGCCTGGTAGGCTGTGGTTGCAGTGAGCTGAGATCACGTCACTGCACTCCAGCCTGGGCGACAGAACAAGAACTTGTCTCAAAAAGGAATGTGGGTCCATATTACTAGATCTCTCTCTCTTTTTTTTTTAAAGGAAAAAATAGAAATCCAGATTTTGATATGGAATCTTAATTTATAAGTACAGGGAATTTTAGAAAATTCTGCATGATGTAGTACTGAGCTGGCCAAAGCAAACACTTCTCTTCCCAAGGAATCCGTTTGCAGCCTCTGCTTTACTGTGCAGGATATTTGCTGATCATGCCACTCTGGGGTCTCCCTGCAGTCCACAGGCCCTGCCAGCTTCCTGGAAACACCAGAAACAAGCTCTGGTGGCTGCTTGTAACTGCAAGCTGAGACTTTCTCTTTGGATTTCTCATCTTCCACATCCTGCTCTACTTGTTTGAAATCAAACTTACTTTATGCCTGAGAAAACAAAACAACACACTGGTCTTGTCTGCTGACCTCCCCAGTCTGCATGGGGTGGTAGCGCCTTCTGAGGGCTGCAGACTCGGCGCTCCTTTTGTGTCCATTGCTGGCTCAAGCTCTGCATCCTTCCTGACTGTGTTGTTCTCATAGCTCCCTTCATTCCTGCTCTTACTGCCATTTCCACAGGCAGGCCCTCACAGATGCCCTTCGTGGCTGTTCATTAACCTCTGAGTGGTCATGGGTTACAAGCGTTCCCAGGAGGTAGTGCCTGTCCTCTCTAGGTGAGGCTCAGCTATAGGAGCAGCTGGCCCAGGCCCTGGTATAGAGATCCTGATGCCTCTCACGTTATCACCAGAGCAGGAGGAGGGAGATTATGCTATTGTAGACGCTTAGGAATCTGGAGCTGCCTCTGTGTCCATCTGTCCCTGTCTCACTGTAAGACCTCAAGCAAGTCAGCAATCCTGTCTGGGTCTCCATTTCTCAATCTGTGCAATGAGGAGATTGATTAGATGAGGGGTGGCAAATAGGGTTCACTGCCACCTCCAGGCTATTGGAAGTGACTGCCTAAGGGCTGGGTCAGGAAAGATTTAGTGAGTAACCATGGCTTATTGGGAATGGGTGCTATCATTGATCAGTAATGTCTGTCTGGGCCCCAGGAGAGGGGAGGGCAGGCACATGTGAATGTAGTCACTGTCTCTGGGCTGGCAGGTCCTGGGCCTGGTCTCCTTGCCCTTCCTGGAGCATGACTTCTGCTCTGCGTTCCTTTGGCAGTCCTGGTGGAACCGAATGTCCAATCGGTTCCGAAAGCTCAAACTGATGCAGACGCTGCCCCGTGGGCTGTCCAGCAACCAGCCTTTGCCTTTCTCTGACGAGCCTGAGCCAGCTCTGGACTCCACAATGAGGGCTGCCCCCCAGGACAAGACAAGCCGCTCTGCACTCCCTGATGCGGCCCCTGTGACCAAAGACAATGGTGAGAAAAGTCTGCATGTGCAGTAGAATTTTTGGAATGGTCTGAGCCTGTACCCTCTGCCCTTCATCCTACCTCCTGGGTTGCTGTCAGGGGTAAGATGATGTTGGAATGGGACACTGGAGCATAGAGGCTGGTCTGGTGGAAAAGATACTTAGGCAGGGACACAACCACCAAGAGTGTGATAGAATGAGAAGGTGCTGGCCAGTGGCAAGAGGCCCAGGTTCCTGTCCCACACTCCCTGCTGAGGGACGACAGGGAGTCGTCCTCTCTCTTGCCTTTGATAGGTGGTTTTCCCCACCTCTGAAATGTGATTGGTCTATGACACTGAAAGCATCTTGAAATAAAATGAGTTACTGGGAGGGTGTGAGTAGTGAGCTCCCCGTCACTCAAGGTATTCAACAGCTTGGATAACTTTGTCAGTTTGCTGAAGGAGATTCCCATACTGACTGGAACATAGATAAGATCCCTTCTAACAGTCAGATTCCCCATGACCAGATTAGCTACTTTGGCACCACTGTCTGAGACAGACTATTGAGCTGGGGGCACCACTGTCTGACTCAGTACGGCAGTGGTTTATGGAAAAGCTGAAAACATGCTCCAATATACCTTTTAAATGCCTTCCTTCTATTAAAATATCGAATACCAATTATTATTAAATATTTAAGCACCCAGGAGAGTTGGTTTTCCAGGTTGAAGCCTGCCCCAGTCACTCATCCTTATGCTGTGGACACGTGGAGGGGTCATTTCAGGAAATTTCCATTTGTCTCTCAGGTCCTGGGAGCACAAGAGGAGAAAAGGAAGACACGTTATTGACAACCATGGTGAGTGTGGGGCTTTTCTAAAAGCATTTTAGGTCTCCGGCAATCATCAGTTGATTGATTTACAAGGAGGGATGTAGGTGTTTGTCTGTCTTTGTAGTGGTCACAGATAGGGTTGGTGATGAGAATGTGTAACAGTGGGCTTAGCTCTGGCACTGAGGAGTCAGAACAGATGCCAGCTCTAAACTGTGGAGAGGGCTGTGCTGGTGCTCACCCGCTGGGTGTCAGCCCTGGCCCTGTTCTCATGGAGGCAGGGGATTGAGGGTAGGAATTGATGGGCAGCATGAGAAATGAAGACTCACCATTTGGGCTGTGGAGAACCAGGGTGAGAGGAGTCAAAGAGGAGGCTATGTTTCCAGCTGGGGAGGCCTCAGTTTCCTCATCTGTAACTTAGAGATGTATTAGGATTAGGGTCAACTGTGAGTAACGGAAAATCCCCAAGTAACAATGGTGTAAATAAGACAGCAGCCTACTTCATTCAAGTAAACAAAGTCCAGAACTAGTATATGGCTCATTGGAGTTAGGGACTTGAGTCCTTTCTGCCTGTTGGTCCCCCATGTGTAGTTTCTGTTTCTCAGGTCACCTCTTGGTTCAAGATGGCTGCCAGAGCTCTGGCCCATGACGGCCTCATTCCAGCCAGCAGGAGAGAGGAGGGGAGAAGAGGTAGCCATGGGCACATGCCAGCTGTCTTTAAGGAAGTTTCTTGGGGCCACGCACAGTAGCTCATGCCTGTAATCCCAGCACTTTGGGAGGCGGAGGCAGGTGAATCACGTGAGGTCAGGAGTTTGAGACCAGCCTGGCCAACATGGTGAAACCTCATCTCTACTAAAAATACAAAAATTAGCTGGGCATGGTGGTGGGCGCCTGTAATACCAGATACTCGGGAGGCTGAGGCAGGAGAATTGCTTGAACCCGGGAGGTGGAGGTTGCAGTGAACCAAGCTCGTGCCATTGCTCTCCAGCCTGGGCAACAGAGCAAGATTCTGTCTTTAAAAAAAAAAAAAAAAAGGGTTTTTGGCAACTACTCTGCTTAAATCACAGTGGGGAAGCTGGGAAATGAAGTCTTTGTTCCAAGTGGTCCTGTGCCCATCTAAATGAACATTAGGGGTGTCATTTCTAAGATGTGAAAAGTAGATACTGGGGGACAGTTTGCAGTCTCTGACTTCGGGGATCCCTCATGGTTATGGTTTTTAAACAAGATCACTCCCAGGAAGTTCTTAGCATAGTGTCTGGCCCAGAATAAGCTCCGTGGTGTGAACTTGGATGTGTTACCTCCCCTCTCTGGGTTTCACGTTTGTTTCCTCTGACATGAGAGCTTAGTGGTTAAAGTTGGACTTGAGTCCCTTTAGCGCTAAGACCCTAATACTAGCCAGCAGAGGGCAGTATTGCTGAGGACAAGGGAGCAGAGGGGGCTCCCAGAAAAGGCATCAGCAGTGTCAGGAACTTTAGAGCCCAGCGAGGGGTCCTGACCCAATCTGCCCACGGCTCCCTGCCACCCCAACAGGTGTAAATTGATGGCTCGAACACTGACTGTGGGGGCTTGTGCTGCCTGACGTTTGATCATGTTATTAAATAGCAATAATTATTTTTGGTGTGAAGACAGAAATGCTATTTTAGAAATTTTGGAAGAAGCAGTAAAACATATAGAAGGAAAATAAATTCATCCCTGATCACACACCCAACTATAACCATGGTTGGCATTTTTATGGATATGTCTTTTGAGTATTTTTTGTAAGCAGTTTTTTAGCATGTATAAATATGATATGATGTTGTATATAATAATAGCAAATACCATAGCTTTTACTAAGTACCAGCTACTATTCATCGCACTTTGCATGTATCAGCTCATTTAATATTCCTGAGGTTGGCACTGTTAGTATCTTTCCCATATTGTGTTGAATCCAATTTATTTGTGATTTATGTGTTGTGACCATCTTTTCCATGTCATAAAACACCATGTAGCCACATCATATTTAATGGCTACATTAGAACATTCTAGTGTAGGAACGTGTCTCTTTATCCAAGACTGAACTGTCAGACTCTGGGATTTCTAGTTTTTTGTTATTTTAACAGCTCAGATGAATGTCCTTATACCTTCGTTTCCCCCACTTGCCTGATTATTTGCTCAGGATGAATACCTAGAAATGGAATTCCTGGGTCAAAGGTTGTGAATGTCATTGGCTTCCAGAAAGATAGCAACAATTTAGACTGTTACCCCAGGGAGGGAAAATACCCTTTTGTGGTGGTGGATTTGTCGCTGTGAGTTTCCAACTCAACCCCGTTTGCTGGATGAGCTTGTTGTGGTCTAGAGGGAAAGAGGGGACAGCACTTGTTTAGAGACTCAGAAAAGCAGGACAGAGCCAGCCTGGGAACCCCGGAGGTGTACTACTTCCCCAACTGCTCATGCCCTGTAGAGGGCGCCAGTGTGCCTGCCCCCCCATAATGGGTGGGGTGGCCCGGCTGCCCTGCTGATGGGCATGTGCAGCCATCAGTGTGGAGATGCCCGCCTGCTCGGCTCCCGAGGCGAGTTTAGCTGTGGGATGCCCGTTGCTGCAAAGCTCCATCTGGCACAAAGTTCACTATTTTTCTTAATTAAGGTGAGCTTGGTCTGTGAACACTTCCTTGAAGATCTAACAGTCATTACTGTGTAGATTTTATACTGACCCCCAAATCACATTTTCAAAATTAAAAATTAAATTACAATTAAATGTCAGCAGCAGGAGGCGTGGCTGGAGCAAGCTGGGATGTGGGGGGCTGGGGAAGAGAGTGGTGCTGAGCCCTAGCCCTTATCACCTCCTGCTTCCTTCTTCACTCCCAATGGCTGCTCATGCTGGTCTCCTTGCAGCACTGCACCCATGTCCTGCTCCTCTAGGTTCCAGGCCTTTCCATATTCTGGCCCCTCACTCAGTCTGGAATGCACCTCCTGGTCCTCACTGGCCCAGCTTAAACTGTCGTTCTCAGCTCGGTTCCCACAAAGGTGCCTTCACTGTGCAGCAGGGGCACCCCTCCTCTGTGTTCTCCCAGTTCCCCTGCCTCCCCCACAGCACACCAACATCATCTGCTTCTCCTTGGCGCTCTGTCTCCTCTGCCCCATTCTGATCTTGCTGCTGTGAGGAGAGATCCAGAAGAAGCCTGGTGTTGGCGCAGAGCAGACATGGGTGTTGTGCGGTTACTGGGAGGAGAGCTGTAGATGCCACATAGCTCCCGGCTTGGGTGGAGGGGTGGATGGTGGTGCCATGCCCCAAGAAGCAGGAAAAACATGGAGTCTTTCCTGCAGAGTTGGGAGCCCTCCTGGGGGCTTGTCTAACCCTCAGCCTGTCTTTTTCAGCTTCGAAACGGAGCTCCCCTCACCAGACTCCCGAGTGACAAGCTGAAAGCAGTCATCCCCCCATTCCTACCCCCTTCCAGTTTTGAGCTGTGGAGCTCTGATCGGTCCCGGACGCGTCACAACGGGAAGGCAGACCCCATGAAGACTGCGCTGCCCCAGAGAGCCAGCAGGGGCCACCCCGTGGGCGGCGGGGGCACAGACACTGTAAGTTGTCTTCTGACACACTTTTACACATCACTCACTGCTCACTGAGATCATGGTGTGTTCCAGGCAGCGGGACCTCAAACCGACGAATCCAGAGGGGTTGCAACTTTTTTTTTCTTTTGAATGGATGATATCCTTTTGTCTAATGAAGCCCTACAGAGCAACTCAGTATGGAAAATAGATTAAAATGTTGAGGTAGCAGGGAACATCTGTCCCCTCACTGGAACCCTAGATCTCCAAGGAGCACAGTTTGAAGACCTGATCCATCTAATCCAACCTTCCTTTTAGTAGATGAGGAAACTGGGACCCAGGGAGTGGGAGTAATAGCTGAAGATCACCAGCCAAGTGTGAGTGAACCATAATCAAGAGCAAACACTCAGCGGCAACTCTGTGTGCTACTGGTGTTTTCTTGTGCCCAAGAGTATGACTTCTATCCTTTTGACTGTAGTGATTTCTAACTTGGTGGCTCTTGGTCTGTTTCTGAAATTGACAGTCTCATCAGTGTGGAAGGTATCTGTGTGTAACCTGTATCTAGATGGTAGATGCAGCAAATGGGCAAGACGAAGGGATTCAGGACTGACCCTGTCGCCATGTGCTGGGTGATTGGAGAAACGTGTGGCCTCTATCTCTATACGATGGGGCTGACCCCAGCACTCACTGCTGCCTCCTAGGGCTATGATAGTATGAGATCACCTGCAGGAGACCAAGAGCCTGGCGCCTGGAGATGCTCTCAAAACAGGCAGGACAGGTTTGCATTTAGTCCACTATTCTCGATCAGGTAGGAACGGGGGAGTTGTAGAACCCATCCCTGAGACTTCTTCTATGGCTGTGTTTCCTTGAGAATTTAACCCTAGAGGGACAGAACATCAACTTGACTTGCTTCATTTGCTCAGTGAACATTAACTGAATCCCACTGCCATGTAGCCCAGTCAGCCCCATTCTGCCCTAGAAGAGGTGGTGGTCTGGGTGGCAAAGACACAGGCACAGAACATGAGGCAGGGAGCAGTGTTAGGAGTGTGGGAGCGCCAGAGAGGTGACCGTGTGTGGTAGGGCACTCGGGAGGCCTCCAGGAAGAGGCGACAGCTGAGCTGGGATTTGCAGGCTGTGGAAGAGTTTTCTCCCCAGTGGAGTGCAGGCAGCAGCGTCCCAGGTAGAGGGAGAGAGAACGTGAGCTATGGCCTTTGCAAGTGTGTTCTGTTTCGCTTACTCAGCAGAGGGGCCTCATTCTGGGCCCTGGGGATCGTGTCACTGTCCCTCCCTTAGGAGTGCCCACAGTGGGGGGCCAGGGCCCTGGGATCTGTCACTGTCTCTCCCTTAGGAGTGCCCACAGTAGAGGACCAACAAGAGGACCTTCGTTTTGGTGTCCTATGGCTGCTGTAACAAGTCACCACAAACTGCATGGCTTAAAACAACAGAAATGTATTCTCTCACAGTCCTGCAGGCAGAAAGTCTGAAATCAAGGTGTCAGCAGGGCCCTGCTCCCTCGGGAGGCTCCGGGGAGATCCTTTCTTTCCTCTGACAGCTTCTCTTGATTCTAGGCTTCGCTTGGCTTGTGGCTGCATCACTCCAGTCTCGGCCTCCGTGGTCACATTGCTTCCTCATTTGTCAAAATTCCCTCTGCCTTTTCTCTTATAAAGATACATGTGATTGCATTTAGAGCCCACCTGGATAATCCAGGATAAGCTCCTCCTCTCAAAATCCTTGACTTGGGCACATCTTAGGTAAGCACATATAAGCTCATCCTCATTCTCATGCCTCATAAGGTAACAGTCAAAGGTTCTGGGAATTAGGACACTGTGTATCTTTTTGGCGGCTGCAATTCAGCCCACTGCAACCTTTAATCACATCTACTGAGTGCCTTCTTTGTGCCGAGGCCAGAGCTGGGTACTAGGCATATAGCAGAGAACCAAGTCCCCATGGAGCTGGCAGTCCACTGGGGCATCATACACACAGGCAACCGCAGTAAATGTACACTCACAAGCCATGGTAAGAGTTACAGTGTAAGCGAAGAGGGTGCTGGAAGGGATCACAGCCGTGTGTTGAGGAGCCTGCCCTACACGGGAGCCCACCCTAGACCAGAGCCCATATTATACCGCTTAGGCAGTGAAGGCCTCCGAGACCTGAGAGCCAAGGACCGGGAGGAGCCGCTGTGGGAGGAGTGGGGTAAGGATGGGGGGGAGCCGCCGGGTCCATGTAGAACAGACTGCCTGGGCAAAGGCCCCAAGGCACAAAAAAGATCAGCAGGAAACCCAAAGGAGGTTGGTGTGCCTGGAGCAGAGCAAGCGAAGCAGAGGGTGGAGTGAGGTCAGGGTGGAGAGGACGTGACCAGGAGCACTGGCACCAGGGACAATGGGGCCAGGAAAGACACCATAAAGGATGTGGGGAGGAGAAGATCCATTTCAGGCTGAGGGACCAACAGAGGCAGCATCACGGAAGCAGGCTTGGAGCTGGGGTGCTGGTCACTGTGCCCGGCGGTGCTGAGGGGGCTGGATTTTGTCCTGGATGTGCTGAGGCCTCCGTGGGTTGTCAGTGAATAACATGGTCAGGTTTTTTCCTGGAAGGCCCTGGAGTTGAATGAGACTGAAAGCAAGGTGGCCCATGGGAAATGATGTGACATGGATTCACTGAGCTAATGGGCAAGTTGTCAGCACATAGAAGCAAGCTCCATCCCTCAGGGACTCCCCAGCTGGGCCCTGGCAGGGCCATGCTGGGCACAGCGAGCTTTGGTGGGGTATGCACCAGCTGAGCACAGGAACCCCCACACTGTGATCCTGCACGGCTGGAGGGAGGAGCAGCCTCCCTAAGTGCTGCACCTGCCTTATTCTTGTAGACACCCGTCAGGCCTGTTAAATTTCCAAGCCTCCCCAGAAGCCCAGCCTCTTCTGCCAATTCTGGAAACTTCAACCACTCGCCTCATTCATCGGGCGGCTCCAGTGGGGTAGGTGTGAGCCGGCACGGTGGGGAGCTGCTTAACCGCTCAGGTGAGTAGCTGGGCAGGGCCACTCAGGGAGGTGGGGTGATCCCTTGGGACTGAGGGTGTGCACTGCCTGGATATTCAGGTTGCAGACAGTCGCAGAAATGACCACGCAAGAGGCACTTTCTCCTTAATGTGGCTAAGAGATTTTTCAGTGAATTCCCAATTCAGAGTTTTACACATTTTCTTGGGGATGCAGATGGATGGAGATGGAGGAAGATAAAGTCCAGAATGCTTTTTTTTTTCTTGTAAAATTTTACAAGAGATTAAGGGAAGTGCATGATGTTTTCATGGTGTTTAAAATCTCTGAAGGTTAGACCCTGGAGAGCTTCTCATTCTGCCCCTTCATTGAGCAGATGAAACCGAAGTTCACAATGGGCAAGAGATTTGCTTAGGGTCACACAGCAAGTTGGTGGCAATTAGATCTCAAAGCAGAGTGCCCCAAAGTTATTATGGGCTTGCAGCATACTTTCTAGTCCTCCCTAAGGTCATCCAGGATTAACCAAAACCAGCTTTGCAGGAAGGCCACTGTATTAGTCTGTTCTCACGCTGCTAATAAAGACATACCCGAGACTGGGTAACTTCTAAAGAAAAAGAGGTTTAATGGACTCACAATTCCACAGGCTGAGGAGGCCTCACAATCATGCAGAAGCTGAAAGGCACATCTTACGTGGCACAGGGCAAGAGAGAGCTTGTGCAGGGAAACTCCTCATTATAAAACCATCAGATCTCATGAGAGTTATTCACTATCATGGGAACAGCACAGGAGAGACCCGCCCCCATGATTCAATTACCTCCATCAGGTCCCTCCCATGATGCGGGAATTGTGGGAAATTCAAGATGAGATTTGGGTGGGGACACAGCCAAACCATATCAGCCACCCTGCTTCTAGTGGAAAAAGCTTTAAGACCAGATGAGCCAAGAGACTAAAACAAAGTATAATCTCACCCACTACAGATCATCATTACCATTTTCATATATATATTTGGAAAGTGTTTTTCTATAGATTATGAATATTTATAAAAAGGCACAATAATTTATGGAGCACTTAATATTTGTCAAGTAGCGTGCCAAGCCCTTCGAATGAATTATCTCCTTCAGTGCCCCAGCAGGCAGTGAAGTTACCACCTCTGTTTTACAGATGAGGGATTGGGGCTAAGGACAGTTAGATAACTCGTCCGGGGTCAAATAGCTATTAGTTGGCAGAGCCAGGATCCAAACCCAGGCAGTCTCACTTCAGAGCCTGTTCTTGGAACCACGTGCCTTTCTAAACTATAAACTGCTCTGTAACTTGCTTTTTTCTTTTTCCTCACATTGCTAGATTGTGAGCACCTTTTTATGTTGATACATATATATCTACAGCACCTTGTTTAATAATCAAACAGTATTCCATTTGTATGAGGCATCACAGTTCATTTAACCAATTCCCTGTGTTGAACACTGAGGCTGTTCCTAGATTTTTGCTTTTTATAGGTAATACCTCCCTACGTAATACCTTCATGCCTCCATATTCACCTGTATGTTCAGTGATTTCATTTATTTAAATTTGCTGGAATCAGGGTGGCTGAGTTTGTGAGTATGCCTATTTTTGAGGTTTTTGATATGTTTTGCCCTCCAGAATGGCTCTGTTTAAACATGTGAAATACTTACAGCAGCGCCTGGCACATAGTAAATCCTCTATAAATGTTAGTCATTAGTGTCCCTCTTGAGCACCCCCCAGCCCTGGGTATTATCACTGTTTTCTTTTCTTTCTTTCTTTCTTTTTTTTTTTTTTTCTTTGAGACAGAGTCTCACTGTTGCCAGGCTGGAGTGCAGTGGTGCGATCTTCACTCACTGCAGCCTCCCCCTTCTGGGTTCAAGCGATCCTCCTCCCTCAGCCTCCCAAGTAGCTGGGATTACAGGTGCCCGCCACCACACCCAGCTAATTTTTTATATTTTTAGTAGAGACAGGGTTTCACCATGTTGGCCAGGCTGGTCTCGATCTCTACCTTGTGATCTGCCCGCCTCGGCCTCCCAAAGTGCTGGGATTACAGGCGTGAGCCACTGCACCCGGCCCCTTTATTTTATAATAGTTCAAGGTTACCAGTAGATTTGGGAAGCAGGGTGAGGGAGAATGGCAGTCAGGGTTCAGTCAGGAAGCAGAGCACTCTGAGCATTATGGAATTGGGAATTTATTGACTCAGTCGTGAGAGTAGGTGGCCACATAAAGGGAGAGTCAAAGGGTGAGGGACCAATCACTCACTAGCCCTCCTGAAGCCCTGGTGCAGCCAGACAAGACGGTCTGTGCAGCTGCTGGCCGGCTCTGCAGAGGGGCTTCTGTGGGCATCGAGTGCAGGGTGTTGCATCTGTGCCTGGTGGGGGCCGGCACAAGCTGGCTGTGGCACGGGGAAAGCGAGGATGGACTGGGTTTTGCCTTTGCTGCTGCTTCCCACCTCTTACCATTACGCCTTCGCAGCACAGAGCCTGCTGCCTAAACATCTACCTCCTGGTTCTCCTGCAGAATTCTCCTGTGGTCAGTCCTGTCCTGGAGCCACATGGGGAAGGGAGTCTGGGAGACTGGCTCCAACCCAATCATCACACGACAGTCCACCACCCTTGTGTTGGAGTAAGCCCTCTGTGCCCATGGTGTTCACTCATTTTGTGTTTCCTCAGGTGGCAGCATAGACAATGTCTTGTCCCAAATCGCTGCCCAGAGGAAAAAAGCAGCCGGATTATTGGAGCAGAAACCCAGCCATCGGTCAAGCCCTGTGGGGCCAGCACCGGGGTCCAGCCCGTCTGAGCTTCCAGCCTCCCCTGCAGGTGGCAGCGCTCCTGTTGGCAAGGTGCTTGTTTTGTGTGGCCTCCTCCTGTTACACTCACAGATTCTGTTCTAACATGGGCCACTTGCCGGGAAGCATGGGCAGTGCCTTAGTCATGGGACAGGACTAAAGACAGGCCCCTTCCAGCCAGCCACTCCTGGGCTGCATGAGAAGGGCTGAAATGGTCCTCCGCACCAGGCGTTTACCTCCCCTCACATCTCCAGGTTTGAGGGGCACTGGGCTGCTGCACAGTGGCAGGGTACACACCCACTTCCTGCAGTCCCACAGGTCACCCAGCCTCACACTGCACACATTTGTTCATTGATGAGGATGAATGGTTTAAGAGCATGAGTTGAGGAGCAACCTGCCTGGGTTCAGCTCTCAGCCCCACACCTCAGCATTTAGAACAGGGCCTGGCACAGGATAAGCTCATGTCCGTGTTGGCTGTTCCTGTTGACAGCGTTCTTAGTGGTCTTTGTTGTCCTTCAACCTTATTCATCCACTGTATACATCCTGGGAGCATCTGCTCTGTGCCTGGCACAGCTAACAGTAAGGATCCAACTGTGAACTGGGAAATTTGGCAACCGCTCTAAGGACACAGGCAGTCACAGCTCAGTGTGATAGGGGTTGTTGTGGAGCAGGAAGGATGCTGTAGGGGCACAGGTGGGGGGCCCTACCCAGGTTTGAGGGCATCAGGGCCATCTGGATGGGGATCTGAAGGATGAGAATGGAGCCAGGTAAAAGGGGTGTGGGTGGGCCAGGGGTGTTGGTGCAACTGTTCTGGTGTGAGGGAACAACTTGTGTAGCACTCCAGAGGTGACAGCGTGGCCTAAGGGAGGAGCTGAAGGAAGGACATGAGCAGGACAGAGCCGGGACCTTGTCTCCCTGCTTCTGGGCACTGTGCTTCCATTAATGCAGCCAGAGAACAGTCACCACATTGTTAGCATCTACAGATAATGCAGTAAGCAAGAAAACCTAGATGCCTTCCTGGAACAAGAAGTTTTTTAGTGTCTTCAGACTCTGCCTCTGCCTCCTGAACCTCTTTGCCTTGGTTGATTTCTGGGTGAGCCCCCAGAGTGCGGGTTCCTAGTCGTGAGTGTGAGCTGGCTCCTCCACCAAGTGACTCCCCAGTAGTGCAGCATAACCCTTTCCTCCTCTGAGGGGACTCTATGTCCAGGCAAAACCCCACTCTTCATAGTTCTTAGATGTCATAAGCTTCCTTCAGTGAGAAAAGTCCAAACACAGAAAGCCTCCCTCATCCATGGACCTTTGCCCACCAAAGAAGCGCCTCCAGAGATTTATGCTCCCAGGATGTACATGTACTGTATGAGAAATAGTCATTTTCTGCCCAGCCACTCTTGGTTACACAACTCTTTTTGTTACTCAAGATCCCTTGTGCAATAGGACCTATATAATTAGATTCCTTTCACAGTATAGCTCCAAAAAGATTTTCTCCCTACACATTTGCTTATTTTCCATTTTTTTATCTTCAAAATAATTTGTGTAATACGTCCTATATGATTAAGTTCCTTTTATAATTCGGCTGTGAGGAAAAAAGTCTCTACTGATACTTTGATATATTTTATTTTATCAGATAGTAAGAATTTTTAGAATTATTGTATTTCTTTCTTTGCCTTTGCTACTAGGAAACTCAGCTACTCATGAAGCCTACTGTTTTGAGGCTTTGATATAGTGTTTCTTGTCTAAAATTTTGTTTCTATTCTGATGGTCTTATTGGATGTGTTATATGTTAGCTTCCTTTAATTTTTATTGGAAATAAGGCATTTCCAAGTTATAAATTATATTAACTATTCTCTATTATATGAACTATTATTTTGATGTATTGATCATACATTATATATAAGTATATTCTCATGAAAGGAGATTGTATCAAAAGATGCATTCAGGAAGCAGTAAACTGGGGAAACCATCCATTTCAATGATCACCTGACATTTATAACATAATGTTAATAGTATGTTATGATCTTGAGGAGCTATCTAAAAATTCAGGTTTCTGGGCTCCACCCCAGCATACCTGAATGAGGCTCTCGGGAGGGTCTGGGGAATGTTATTCCTGCCAGAGCATCTGTTGGAACCAGCCCAGTCCGGGGCTCATAGAAACCACAGTCTTAAATCAAAGGACACAGAAGTGGGCTTTCTATCCCAGCAGCAAGATAGAGACATGAAGTGCTTTTTCAAAGATAACCTTAGTAAAAATTAGAAGTTAGTATTCAACATATGAGCCTCCTCAATCTGGTTTTTGTACTTTGCTTAAAATAACTCGCTGTAATGGTGGAATATCCACAAGGCATGGCATCTAGCAGGGCCGTGAATCAGTGTGATATGAGTTCCAAGAGACACAGCATAGGTGGCGTTAGAGTGTGCACCAATACTTCCCAGATCTCTGGAGGCCTAAAGGCCTACTAGATATATCAGCTTTCTATTCCTACCTTAAAGCTCAGTCATTTCAAACAAAAACATTACTTAGCTGCTTGTGTGTCTGTGGGTCAGCAGTTTAATCTGGACTTATGTGGGCAGTTCTCTGGTCTGCAGGATCACTCACCTGGCTGGTGGCTGAGGTGGCCAGGACAACTGAGCCACATGTGTCTACAACAAGCTTGGACATGTTCTCAGGGCAGTGGCTGAAGGCATGGGTTGAAAGCCAATCAGGTTGTTTAAGCAAGTTAGTATGCCTGTGGCAGGAGAGCACACAGAACTACATACAGAGGGAGGGGTAGAGATGATGTCATTAACACAATCAGCCTACCACTCAACGGATATTGAGAACAATTCAAATATTTCACAGAATCCCAAATAATCTTATATTTACCCACCTCTTCCCCAGTATGTTGCCCATATGGTCCAGAGTATCATGTTTCTTTGCTTTTGGCTGGAATAGATCTGTGGGGATATACTAATTATCTCCTGCTTTATCAGAGATTCTATTTGGGATTGTCTGTCTTCATGGAAAGAGCAGAGAAAAGAGAGAATTTATTAGTAGTATAGCCAGCTTTTTGGCAAGTCTTTCAAAACCTCAGGGAGGGTCTTCTTTTTCCACTCAGGCATATAATCAGCTAGAAGGAGCATTAAAGGCTTAGTAGGAAGAAAGATATATCCATTTATGCTTAGAAATCTTAGTCTATACTCTACTATATAATATGTCCAATTTTTAGCAAAATTTACAAGACATACAAAAAGTCAAGAAAAACCACACTCCTTAGAAATGAAGCAATCATGATAATCAGATCTGACAAAGGTGTTAGAATATTTGACAGGGAATTTTAAATAACTGTGATTAATATGTTAAAGGTCCTAATAGAAGGTATAAACAACATGCAAGATCATATGGGTAACTATTTTAGTAGAGAGATGGAAACTATAAGAAAGAACCCAATGGAAATGTTAGAAATAAAACAGTAATGGAGTTGAGAAATACCTTTGACAGGCACCTCAGTAGACTTGAGGCCGCCAGGGAAAGAGTCAGTGAACTTGAAGTTAGGTCAGTAGAGTTTACCCCAACTGAATCACAAGAGAAGAAAGAAGAAACACATATAAAACATCAGTACTCAGTAGTCATGGCATGATATCAAATGCCACAGCATAGAGGTAATTGGAATCCCTACAGGAAGAGAGAGAGGTGGGGCAGAAGGAATATGTAAAGAAATAATGCTTAAAAAATGAAAAGAAATAATGGTTGAGAATTTTCTCAAATTAATGACAGATGCCAAACCACAGATCCAGGAAGTTCACAGAATGCTCAATAGGGTAAATACCAAAAAGAATGTACCCCTCCATATTATGTTTAAACTACTGAAAACAAGCCAAAGAGAAAATCTTGAAGGCAGCCTTTTCTTGAAAGAAATTACATACAGAGAAACAAAAATAGGAATTACAGCAGACTTTTTGTCAGAAATCATGCAAATCAAAGACAGTGTTGTGACATCTTTAAAGTACTGAAAGAAAAAACTGTCACGTTGGCTCATAAAATGAATTGGGAAGTATTGTCTCCTCTTCTAGTTTTCTAGAAGATACTGTGTAGAATTCTTATTACCTTTTCCTTAGATGTTTGATAAAATTTGCCAGGGAAACCATTTGGGCCTGCCGTTTTCTCTTTTGGAAGGTTTTAACTTACAGAATGAATTTCATTAATAGATATAGGACTATTCAGGTGTTCTATTTCTACTTGGGTGAGTTTTTGTACTTTGTATCTTTCAAGGAATTATTCCCTTTTATCTAAGTTGTTGAATTTATGGATATACAGTTGTTAGTAGTATGTATCTATTACTATTTTATTACATAGGATCAGTAGGAATGTCTCCTTTTTCATTCCTCTATTGGTAATTTGTGACTTCTCTCTTTTTTTCTTAATCAGTTTGGCTAGAAGTTTATCAATTTTATTGATGTTTTCAAAGAACCAACTTTGGTTTTATTGATTTTCTCTGTTTTTCTGTTTTCAATTTAATTGATTTCTGCTCTTATCTATAATTTCTTTCCCTCTACTTCCTTTGGGTTTTATCTTCTTTCTCTAGTTCCTTATGGTGGAAGCTTAGATTACAGTTTAGAGATCTTTCTTTTTTTCTAATACAGATATTTAATGCTATAAATTTACCTCTATGTGATGCTTTTTCTACATCCCACAAATTTTGATATATTTTAATTTTAATTCCATTCAAAATATTTTCCCCTTCTCTTGAGATTTCCTCTTTGGCCCATTGATTATTTAGAAATGTATTGTTTATTTTTCAATTATTTGTTAGTTTTCCAGAAATCTTTCTGTTTTTGGGGATTTCAGTTTAATTTGATTATAGTTCTGTTTCTAGTTCTATCCCTTTAAATGTTTTGAGGTCTATTTTGTGCCCTAGAATGTGATCTCTTTTGGTGAATTTCTCATAGGCAATTGGAAAGAAAGTGCATTCTGTTGTTATTGTTGGGGGAGAGGAGTTCTATAAATGTCCATAAATGTATAATTAAGTCTAGTTGGTTGTTACTGTTGTTCATGTCTTCTATATTCTTACTGATTTTCTCTCTACTTGTTCTACTAATTACTGAGAGAGGAATTTTAAAGTGTCCAACTATAACTGCAGTTTGGTCTATTTCTCCTTTCAGTTCTGTTGGTTTTTGCCTCACGAGCTGTGTACACATTTAGGATTGCATGTCTTGGAGAATTGACCCCTATGTTATTATATTATTATAGAAAATCCCTAAGATTTTCTTTTCTCCTAAGATTGGGAACAAGGATGCATTTTTATGACTAACATGAAAAGAAAAATGACAGACCAGTAGCCCTCATGAATATAAATATAAAAATCCTTCACAAAATATGAGCAAATCTAATCCCATGATTAAATACAAAGTATAATACCTTCTGACCAAGTGGGGTTCATCCCAGGAAGGCAAATCTGGTTCACCATTATAAAATCAATCATTAGCCTTCACCGTATGAACAGACTAAAGAATATGCAGAAAAAGCACTTAACAAAATTTAAAATCCATTCATCATTAAAACTCTCAACAAACTAGGAATTGAGGGAAACCTCCTGAATCTGACATAAAACACATATAGCCAGGATTATACTTGATGGTTAAGGATTGTTTTCCTCCTAAGACTGGGAACAAGGATGTTGTCTCTTACCTCCAACTGTCAACTTTGTACCAAATACTATGGCTAGTACAATAAGGCAAGAAAAATAAAAGGCATACAGATGGGAAAGGAAGAAACAAAACTATATCTGTTCTTAGATGACATGACTGTCCACATAGAAAACTGCAAAGAATCTACACAAAAGCTCTTAGGATGAATAAGTGAGTCCAGCAAAGTCTCAGGATACAATACGGGTCAATATCCAGAAGTCAGCTGTATTTCTCTACAGTAGTAATAAACATTTAGCATTAGGACATTTAGAATGTTTTTAATTTGAAATTTTAAAAATATAATACATTTAACATGTATGAAATTGAAGTTATGTGAAAATGTATTATATGGAATATAATATAATACTTAGGTATAAATCTAATATGTGTGGAATCAAAAGGTCAAAAACTACAAAACACTGATAAAGAAGCTTAAATAAATGAAGAGATGGAAGGCTTGTGATTATGAAGATACCAATTCTCTGCAATTTGATCTACAGATTAAATGTAATCCCAGTCAAAATCCCAGCAAGCTCTTTTTGTAGAGATCTAGAAACTGATTATAAATTTTATATTGAGGTACAAAAAATTATAATAGTCATATGAAAAAGAATAAAGTTGGCAGGCTCACACTGCCTAATTTCAAGACTTACCATAAAGCTCCAGTGTGGTATTAGCAAAAGGGCAGACAAATAGATCAGTGGAACAAAAGAGAGAGCCCAAAAATAGACCCGCACAAGAAAAGCCAAATAAATTCTTTTTTTAAAGGTACAAAGGCAATTCAGTGGAGAAAGGGTAGTCTTTTCAATGAAGAGTGCTGGAACAATTGGATGTCCATATTGCAAGAAAAGGAACCTCCACGTGTATCTCACAGTGCCAAAAGCATGATACATAAAAGAAAAAATTGGCAAATTTGGACTTAATCAGAACTCAAATCTTTTGCCTGGTAAAAGATACCATTAAGAAAATGAAAAGTCATGCCACAGACTAGGAGAGAATATTTTCAAATCATAGATCTGGAAAAAGTTTTTTATCCAGGAGCCAGGTGCAGTGGCTCATATCTGTGGTCCCAACTACTCGGGAGGCTGAGATGGGAATATTGCTTAAGCCCTAGAGTTCAAGGCTGCAGTGAGCTGTGATGTTGCCACTGCATTCCAGCCTGGGCTACAGAGTGAGGTCCTATCTCTATAAAGAATCAAGTCTTTTTTTCCAGACTAAATAAAGAACCCTCAATTCAATAATAAAACATAAATGTAAAAATGGGCAAAATATTTGAACAGATACTTCATCAAAGAAAATATAAAGATGGCAAATAAGCATATGAAAAGATGTTTAACCATTAGGTACTAGGATAATGCAAATTAAAACCATAATTAAGATAGAGCTATATACCTGTCAGACTGGCTAATATTTAAAAAGGTACAGTTGCTGGTGACAAATGTGGAACTACTGGAACTCCCATTCATTGCTAATAGGAATGCAAAATGGTACAGCCACCTTGAAAAAGATAGGCAGTTTCTTATAAAACTAAACATTCACTTATGATATGACCCAGCTAACTGACTACTAGGTGGATTTTTAAAAAATTTCTCTTCACACAAAAATCTGTGAACCTTTACATTAGTTTTAAAAAATAATCACCCCAAACTGGAAACATCCCAAATGTTCTTCAACAGGTGAATAGATAAACTAATTGTAGTACATTCATGTAATAATAGAACACAACACAGCATCAAAAAGGGACACACTATTGATACGTGCGATTGCTTGAATGAATCCTAAAGGCATCATGCTGAGTGAAAGAAGACAGACCCAAAAATCTACAAATTGTGTGATTCCATTTATATGAGATTCTGGCAACAGCAACACTGTAGGGATATGTGATAACAGTGAAGTGTATATTTGGTCTTCATCCAGTTTCCTGTCATACAATTCCTAAATCCTTAGAATCTCCAAAGTGATGTCATTTTGTGTGCTAATGAATTGACTGATGGCTGGCAGCCCCTAAGTAGCTCCAGGATGGCAACCAGTCACAGCAAAGACCAGGGCAGGATTAGAGGGCAGGATTAGAGGGTAGGATTAGAGGGTTGAGCCTTTCACTCTACCCCATAACCTCTGGGGAGAGGGAGAGGGTTTGAAGGTTTAGTTGATAATCAGTGGCCAATGATTTAATTAATTGTGCCACCATAATGAGGCTTTCATGAAAACCTGAAAAGGACTGGGTTCAGAGAGCCAAACAGCTGAACACCTGGAGACTCCTGGAGGGTAGTATGCCCAGGAAGAGTGTGGGAGCTCCTTGCCCCTTCCTCCGTGCCTTGCCCTATGCATGGTAATATCTTTAAATTTTTATTTTTTTTCATTGACACATAATAATTGTACATATTTAGGGGGTACATAGTGATGTTTAGATACATATACTATATAGTGATCAGATCTGGGTAATTATATATCCATCATATCAGACATTTATTATTTCTTTGTGTTGGGAAGATTCAATATCCTCCTTCTAGCTTTTTGAAACTATATATTATTGTTAACTGTCGTCATCCTACAGTGGTATAGAGCACTAGAACTTATTCCTCCTATCTAGCTATAGTTTTGTATCCTTTTAACAAATCTCTTCCTGTCTCTCCCTTCCCACCTTCTAGTATCCTCTGTTCTACTTTTTACTTACATTGATCATCTTTTTAAGCTTCCACATATGAGTTAGAGTATGCAGTGTTTCACTTTCCATTCTTGGCTTATTTCACTTAACATAATGTCCTCCAGTTCCATCCATGTTGCTTTGAATGACAGGATTTCATCCTTTTTATGGCTGAATAATAATCCATATAAACCCATAAATGTAAGTAAGTGTTTCCCTGAATTCTGTGAGCCACTAGCCAATTAATCAAACCCAAGGAGGGAGTTGTGGGAACTCTGATTTATAGCCAGTCAAAAGCACAGGTAAAACAATCTGGGGCTTTCAGTTGGCATCTGAAGTGGGGGCAGTCTCCTGGGACTGAGCCCTCAACCTGTGGGATTTGATGCTGTGTTTGGATAGATCATGTCAGACTTGAATTGGAGGATACTTAGCTGGTGTCCACTGCAGAACTGATTAATTGATTGGTGTGTAGGGGAAGAAAGCTCCATACCTTTGGTTACAGACACATTCTGTGTTGATTGTTGTGGGGTAAGAATAGAGGAAAAATAGTTTATTTTTTTGTCTCTAGTCACAGGATGGAACATAGAGCGCTGTTTTTATGGCTTGGGATTAGGAGGAGGGATTAGCTAGAAAAGGACCACTTAAGGACATTCAGAGGATGATGGAACTCTTCTGTATGGTACCCTCTTGGTGGATACATAACACTATGTGTTTTTCAGATCCCATGGAATTGTGTACAACAGAGCTATTTTTTACTGTATGCAAATTAAAAAAAACAAAATCAACCAGGAACCAAAGATAGAATGCAAACTATGACAGAAGATCTAAGTGTATTCAAATGAATGACCTAACCACATTGTAGGAGGTGGAGGAGAAAATCGTATGTTGAGTGGATATTAGGCTAAAGACAAAAAGTACTGTATACAAGTACTGTACTCTAGTTGATATTTTTTTTCTTACCAGGATATGGGCTAACAATTCTGTTATCCTTACCAGGATATGGGCTAAAAATTTTTTTGTGTACATGTACACTTAACATATATACCAGGATTGAATAAATAAGTAGCAAAGTTTTTACTGTCAGAGACAGAATCAAAGGAAAAATGCTAGAACAAACTCTGTGGATGTTGGGTTGAAGTCAGAGGTATCGGTATGAATCAGTATGAGTGCATGCTTTTAAATACACAGAGAGTTGCACACACACAGAGTTAGTAGATATAAAAGTAGATATGGCTATGTGTGTATACATCGGTTAGTGTATATATGTCTTTGCTCTGTCCACTTTGAGGACCTAGAAGCAGTGACATCCCAGTACCAGTGAGCAACCTAGTACCCAGATTTTGGTTTCTAAATACCATTCTCTAATAAAAGGGACCTTGGAAAGCTTTGGAGAAGTGTTTTATTCTAGTACTGGGTCAGCAGAAACATAAGATGAGCTTAGAATATTTTGTGGTGTCAGAAAGTAGGCAAATACTTTTAAAAAGAAAGACAAAAAAAAAAAAAAAGAAAGATGGCGCATGTCAAAAGGGTACAGGAGCCAACCCGAAAGATCTCACAATGGCCAAAGCTGTAATAATGAGCTACAAAATAACAGTAATATTGGATTATGGCCCAGAGCTTAAAAAATACCCATGAGCCTGTACTGATAGGAATAAATGATTGAGCAAATAAATAGGAGAGAAAGAACAACTCTTCCTTATAGAAGTATTACAGATAATAAATGTGGAAGGAAGGAGGGCAATAGAAAATCACCATGGGAACACCACTGTAACACTTGCCTCAGTGAGACTCACCAATGAATGCAAAGTTAATGGGCAGAACCTTAATAAATATTTACCCAAAAACTTCTCCCAAAGGATATTTTATTTTGTATATTTATTTATTTATTTATTTATTTATTTTGAGACAGAGTCTCGCTTTGTCACCCAGGCTGGAGTGCAGTGGTGCGATCTCGGCTCACTGCAACCTCTGCCTCCCGGGTTCAAGTGATTCTCCTGCCTCAGCCTCCCAAGTAGCTAGGACTACAGGCACCCACCACCACACTTGGCTAATTTTTGTATTTTTTAGTAGAGATGGGGTTTCACCATATTGGCTAGGCTGCTCTTGAACTCTTGACCTTGTGATCCACCTGCCTCAGCCTCCCAAAGTGCTGGGATTACAGGCATGAGCCACCATGCCCAGCCCAAATAATATTAAAAAGAAAAATAGTGACTTTATAATGGAGAAACCCAGCAGACATCCCCTCATGTAAGTGATGAAGGTTACCATCACCAGTAATCAGATACTGTGTCCTCTCTGCATAACGATGCACTGAATGGGCATATCACTTCATTGCCCCCTACATTCACAAGCACATCTAATTATGGGAAAACTTAAGATAATCCCAAAATGATGTGCATTCTTCAAAATACCTGACCAAGATTTCCCAAGTGTCAGGGTCATGAAAGACAAGGAAAGACAGCGCTGTCACAGGTCAGAGGAGCCTACAGAGATACAGCACAGCTCCATGCAGTGTGGGTTCCTGGATCAGATCTTGGACCAGCATAAGGACATAAGCAAAACAGCCAGGGAAACAGAGTGAAGTCTGTAGTTTAGTTAATAGTGTTGTGTCAATGTCAGCTTGTTAGTTTTGATCATTATACTGTGACGATGTAGATATTAATATCAGGAAGCTGTGTGAGGGGTATGTGGGAACTCTGTTCTCTCTGTGCAGCTCTTCTATACGTCTAGAATTATTTTAATGTAAAAAGCCTTTGTTTTAAAGCTAACCAATGAGAAAAAGGGAAGAATACGTGTTCTTTGGTGTAGATGAAGGAGCATCAAGAGCAGAAAGAGACTTTGTGCCTCCCTAAGCCAGACTTTCATTTTACAGCTGGTTAACTGAGGCCCAGAGAGCTCGGGGGGCTTGGCCAAAGCCACAATGCAAGTAGCTGGAGGGCAGGACTGGGATTGGGGGAGCGGGGCGGGGTGGGGAGCGGGGTGGTTCCTGACTCATAATATGCAGCTATTTGATCTTATCCTATCTCTGCTCCAGGGTTGCATTTTCCTCTAATTGTTCTGATAATGATATTTCTGCTTTCCATGTTTTTAAAAGTAGATTTCATAGTCTTGGTTAAACATCATGTTGAATCAAATACCACCCATGTTCCCTGTTGTGGGTGTCTTGTTTTCCTCATTTCTACCCTACAGGTGATGGCTTATGTATTTGTCTTACTCTGTTCAGCAGAAATTGGAGACCAGCAAAAGGCCTCCATCTGGAACTTCCACTACCTCCAAGAGCACCTCTCCAACCCTCACGCCCTCCCCCTCACCCAAAGGGCACACTGCAGAGTCCTCAGTGTCTTCCTCGTCATCCCATCGGCAGTCCAAGAGCAGTGGGGGCTCCAGCAGTGGCACCATCACAGATGAGGGTGAGTCCCCTGAGGGCCTGAAACCCCACCTATTCCTCTCACCATGATGACCTGGCAGCAAGGAACTGCAAGGTGACCTTAATTGCTATAACCATCCTAGGTCAGGTTTTAAGAAGATTTACGACAAACATGTCCCTCCTCTTCTCTGATTGTACCTTGTATTTTTGTCTTCACTATGCTAAAGGTATGGTAAGCTCCCTCAAAGAGTTTTTGAGTATAGGTGATTTTTGTTTACATGCACAAACATACACCCATGGAAGTGCTTCTCCAACACGAACTTACTTTCCCTGGACCCTGTACCTGTCAGGATTCTTTCAGTTGTGAGTGAGAGAAACTCCACTCACACTGGTTCAAGGGAAAAAAATGAAACCTGACATTTCATTGGCTCATATGATGGGAGTGTCTAGGGTGTGCTTCAACCATGCCTGAATTCAGGTGCTTTGGGAGTGTTTCCAGGTCTCAGGTAGGTTCTCTCCAAGTGGTGGCAAGCAGCTTCAGGCATACTTTTGTCTTCCCACCAATTTTTCAACTCCAGCAGAACGAGTGCTACTTTCTCAGTAGGTCCAGCAAAATCCCAAGTGTAAAGGCCATTGGCTTGGCTGTATTTATAATGACCTAGGTCAGTTGCCCTCCCTTGACTATCTCTGTGTCCACAGGGGTGGAATGTGGTGATTGGCCATGCCCCTTCGGTCAGTTGTCTGCTTTGGAGCGGAGTTGGGGTCCAACCTACTGACATATGTGTATTGGAAGTGGGAGAGAAATAGTTCCTCAAAGGAAAATTTGGAAATACTGTTTCCAGGAGAAGGGGGATGGGTGAGGGCAAGCAAAAGCAGTTGATGTCTGCTGCAACCAGGAGAGCCTTGGAACCTGCCTTGTGAATTACAGCCTCTGCAGCCCCCATGCGGGAATGATGAGGGAAGATGGAGTGGGTGGTAGGGCAGGAGCAGAGGCTTTGCAGTCAGGCCCCAGGAAAGATAAAGGCAGATGAAGAAAGGAATCCCATCCTTTTAAACTGCCCTCTAGAGGCCTGTAGGAGCTGGGATGGGGGAAAGAGGGAGGAAGCTTTGGTGAGACCTGGGGTCCAGGCAGGTGCAAATCGAGGAGTATAAGTCAGCAGGGAGGAAAATCTGATTGTGTTCGTGGCCCTCACAAATGCGTTTGCGGGCAGTTCGCTGCAGCTGCTGAGGAGTAGGGTGCTGAGCAGGTTCTGCTGAGCAAGATAAGTTGGAATCACTTGCACAGGCTCTAGTCTGTACTAAGTTGATAAATGCATGCTGCCACTGGTGTCCTCCTTATTTGGGGGCTGCTTTTATTGTTTTGTGATATCCAGTGTGATCATTTATCAAGGCCTCAGAGATTCACCAGCAAACTCATTCCTCCCCAACCATATTTTCTATGTGGAGTCTTGAGTTCCACACTCGTGAATTCTCCCACCTCTGAGGTTTTCAGGAATTGAAGCCCCTAGAGATTCAGTTAGGTATTTGTGCCCCATTGTTTTCCAAAAAAGAGTGGAGACAGTGGATGTCTGTATGGACTGTTTGTACCCACTCTCTTTCCCTCTTGTTCATTATTAAAAATGGTTTGCAGAGTCCTAATTGGGATGAAAAAAGAAGAGGGCCAATAGCACTTTCTTTGTAGAATAATTTCTCTGGTTCATAAAGCTTAGTTTTCCTGTTGAGAGTTCCTGGGTCCTGAGGCAGCGAGCCCTTTGTCCTGTGGGTATATGATTGTTATAGGCCGGGGGCTGCAATCCATCCCCGAAGAGCTTTTTTTTTTTTGAGACGGAGGCTTGCTCTGTCACCCATGCTGGAGTGCAGTGGCGCGATCTCGGCTCACTGCAAGCTCCTCCTCCCGGGTTCACACCATTCTCCTGCCTCAGCCTGCCAAGTAGCTGGGACCTCAGGTGCCCGCCACCACGCCTGGCTAATTATTTTGTATTATTAGTAGAGACGGGGTTTCACCGTGTTAGCCAGGATGGTCTCGATCTCCTGACCTCGTGATCCGCCCGCCTCGGCCTCCCAAAGTGCTTGGATTACAGGTGTGAGCCACCACGCCCGGCCCCCAAAGAGCTATTTTTATTATATTCTTCTGGGAAATATTTGGTCCCAGTCAAGGACACGTGAGCTTTTCCCTGCCTCATGTCTCCATCTGCATTCCTCCTCTCTGGACTCCACCTGTTGAAGCAGCAAGGCTGGTGACAGCATCACCTTCTCAGCCTCACATTTGTTCCAGGAAATTTTCTTGGGCAGTCCCCTGGATGCCCTAACCTATGCACCCAGGGGAACTCACAGGGATACAGACACATTCAACATAATGACATTAGAGTGTAACACAAGGTGAGGTCATACCTGTTATCAGCAAAGCACCATGTGCCATGGTAGGCTCCCCTGGTGAGCGGGCACTCCAGCTGGACCACGACACTGGGAAGAGATGGGCAGTGGGGTGCCAGAGCCGACTGTTCAGTTTATAGGACATGCCCAAGCTGGTTGTTAAACACAACCATTATTTACAAATTACATGAACTTCGAATTAACTGAATTATAGAAATATAACAGTATATTGTACTTAAAATGTATTTTTTACTCATTTTTGTATATTTTATTATCTGTGCTCTTGAGGTTGTGTATATCTCATACCTGCAGTGTGAATACCCCGTAATGATGTGTTCCTACTGCGCATCTCTGCTCAGCTTCACTTTCAGGGGCATTAGATTGGTAGGTTGAAATTGGCTATGATGGGGGTATTTACACCATGGAAATTGGCAAACACCATCAATCAGGGCTTGCTTTTTTTTTTTTTGAGATAGGGTCTTACTCTGTCACCCAGGCTGGGGTACAGTGGTGTGATCACAGCTCACTGCAGCCTCAACCTCCCTGGTCTCAAGCAATCCGGGGCTTGATTTGTTGTCTTATAGATATTGTCTACATGTAATCTAGGCAGTGATGGGAAAATGTTAACAATGAGGATTAAACTTAAAAGTAGGTTGTATCTGTAACCGTTATCTTGTGAGTAGCACAAAAAATTGAGAAAATACTCTTCCAGTATTTGAAAACCATTATCTGATTCAGCCAAGTTGCTCACCTGAAGTTCCAACGTAAGTCTTTGTTGTTTCTTTTTTATGTTTCTTGTTCATGTAAACAAAACTCTCAGCCAGTGTTCATGTTGGAACCATACTCCTTGGCTGTGGGTACAAGAGTAGGGCAAAAACAAATGAAAGCATTTGGTGAGAATCAATTGGCTATATGGAATTTATAAGAAAGAATATTGTATTTTTTATTATTTGTAAATTGTGTGCTATAAATCCTTTATATCAGTAAATCTGCAATAGATTTATGTGCCTATATACATGCATACACCTTCCCCCGAGAACCAGTTGTTAAACATTTACCAGCACACCACTGTGGACCAAGGCTGCATGTGTAGGGAACAGCAGGAGCAAAGGTTTGGTGTCATGAAATACAACAGATTATGTGTGGATTGGGATTTGATTTGTCTCATACATCCTCGCTCAGTAGCCTCTCTACTGTGAAGCTTTCCCTAGTACCTTGGGCTGGGTCAGCTGTTCTCTCTGTCCCCACATCCCCCTGTTGTTGCTCTTCACCATAGCATGCACCACCCATGAGAAAAGTGGAGAGTGGGCGCCTAGCACAGGCCTGGTAGCTAGACCACTGGGCTTGAGTCCCTGCTTTGCCACGGACTAGCAGGATGACCTCACCCAAGATGTGGTATCAAGCCTTTCTGTGCCTCAGTTTCTCATCTGTAAATGGGGACAGTAATAGGATCTACCTCATTGGTGTTGTAAAGAGCAAGTGGGTCATCCATGTACAGGCTGGCTGATAGCACTGTGTATTAGCTTTCATCCTCCTCATCCTATCCTCCCAGCCACACTGAGCTTCATGACAGGGACCTCTCCATCCTTGCTACCTAGTGTCCATTGGGCACAGTGGTAGTCACTGCTGGAAGGAAGGAAGGAAGGAAGGGAAAGAGGGAGGGAAGGAGGGAAGGAAGGTTGGTTGAATGAATGAGTTAAAAAAAGAAGGAACCTAAGCCTCCTAATCACTTCTTTAAGCTGCATGCACTGCCTCACAACCTTTACACCTGCTCTTCCCTGTCTGGATGCTGCCTAATGCTCTTACTCCAGATATCTGCATAGCTCACTCCTTCATTTACTGCTCATAGATCACCTTATAGGAGAGTCTTTCCGTGACCATCTTCTGTAAAACAGCGTTTGTAAAACTGGAAATGCTGTCATTTACCTTGATGCTGCTCTCTTCTTCCTTGCTGTCTTGCCTATCAGCCTTTGTTTGTTTGTTTGTTTGTTTGTTTGTGACAGGGTCTTGCTTTGTAGCCCAGGCTGGAGTGCAATGGTGTAGTGGCATAATTGCAGCTCACTGTGGCCTCAAACTCCTGGGCACAAGTGATCCTCTTGCTTCAGCCTCCCGAGTTGCTGGGACTACAGGCACACACATCACACCTCCTGGCTAATTACTTCTAAATTTTTTGTAGAGATGAAATCTCATTATAGTGCCAGGCCTGGTTTTGAACTTTTGGCCTCAAGTGATCCTTCATCCTTGGCCTCCCAAGATCCTGGGATTACAGGCATGCACGACCTGCCCGGCCTCTGTCAGCCTTCTTATTGTCTGTTTTGGTATCTATTGAGTCCCCAGTTCCTAGTTTGGCAAATCCCTATTGAATGTGTGAGTAAATATTTCTCCAAGCCCCTCAGGTGCTGGTTTTGTCTCCTTTTCTTTATTCTCCCTGTTCTGACACCCCAAATCATCTTCTTGTGCCCTTGTGGCTCTGCTGTTCCACATAGATGCCTTTTTCCTTCAGGAAGGCCACAGCCTCTGCACACTTGAGCCAAACCCTGGTTCTGGTCTGAAGCCCACCATCTTCTTTCTTAAGTTCTTCCTCACACTAGCTAAGGACTTGCTGGCATTGGCATTTACTGCAGGCATTGGCATTTATGGTGCTTTCTCACACAGAAGGCAGAGTTTTAGTTCTGGCAGCTGGAACTTCCAGAACTTGAGGGTCGCAGTCTGGAGGGAATCAGTCAGTCCTGGCCCAGACTCTCTGTGTCTTCACAGCCTGACGTGGAGTTTTGTTGATTGCTGAGGGCCTGCCTTGAGGGGAAGAGGGTGCAGGTAGCTCAGGACCCACCTCCAGCCTCATCTGCAGGAGTCCAGCTGAGATCAGCTTTCTGTGTTGGTGTTTCTTATAGAATTTCATTTGAAATAAGATTACCACTACTTTATAAAGGTTTGAAGACCACTTTACCAAATTCTAAAATGTGTTGTTTTTTTTTCACCTTTCCATCTTGAAGATGAACTGACTGGAATCCTTAAGAAATTATCACTTGAGAAATATCAGCCCATTTTTGAGGAACAAGAGGTAAGAATGCTCTTTTTGAATGTCAATTTAAATCTTACTATGAAAGAAAAATTTGTCTAAATGTGTAGGTTTTCATTTTGCAAGCCTAGATTGATCTCTTGCACTGAGACAGTTGAGGAAATAGAATTCGTGCTTAGCGGGATTAGTTCAGTTTGTTATTGTGAAATCCTGGGGACTTATGGCTTGCTTTGTTATGATAGAATTTTGTAATTTTGAGCACTGCTCTCTCTAGAAAAGTTTCTTCCTCTCCTGAAAACATTTTTTTTGTTGTGTGTGATTGACTGGCAGACTTATAGGCTTAAAGTGAGCTAATAGTAAACCCTAAGGAACCTGTGTTATGTGTCTGGATCTAGGGTCAGTGGTGGTCTGAGAGAGTTGCTATGTGTTTAAAAGCATTCAGATTCACATTAAAAAAAGAATACTGTTCTGCAGTTTGGCACTTCCTCAAAATATTAAATATAGAGTTACCGTGTGACCCAGCAGTCCTACTCCTAGGTATATTCCCAAGAGAAATGAAGACATGTGTCCACACAGAAACTTGTACACAAATGCTTGTAGCAACATTATTCATGAAAGCCAAACTGTGGATACGACCCAAATGTCCATCGACTAATGAATGGATAAATAAAATATGCCTGTGCCATGGAATGTTATTTGGCCATGAAAAGAATGAAATACTGGCACATGCTGCAACGTGGATGAACCTGAACACATCTTGCTAAGTGGAAGAAACCAGTCACAAAAGGCACGTAGGGTGTGCTTTCATTTATATGAAATGTCCAGGCTAGGCAAATCTGTAGACACAAAAAGTAGATTCGTGGTTGCCAGAGAGTTGGGTGGAGGAGTAGGCGGGTAGAATGGGCAGAGTAGGGAGTGACTAGAATGGATACACGGTTTCTTTTGGGGGTGATGAAAATGTTCTAAAAGTGTGTGGTGATGGTTACACAACTCTGTGAATATACTAAAAATCATTGAATTGTATAAATAGGTGAATTTTATGGTAGATGAATTATATCTCAGTAAGCTGTTAAAAAATTTACTGCTTTAGCCAAGTAAAACTCCTCCACAGGCCCACCAGCCTCCAGGGTATAATCACTGGTTTAGAACGTTCCAGTGAGCAGCTTAGTAGGTAAAAACTGACACAATTGCAGAGCAATCATGAGAATCACTCATTGTCCCCACCAGACTTGAGATGCAGTTGAGGAGCTCGTATTTTAGTTCAAGAAACAAATAGGGCGCGTAGCTTTCCTCCTCCTGTTTGCTTTTCTACCATATACAGTCTGCCATTCCTGCCTCCTTGGTGTTTTAAACCTTAGCAGTGACTTTCTCCAAGAAATCTTTCCGTATTGCTGATCGCTGCCTGCTTTTGCTGATATGTTTATGCCTTCTTGGAGTGTACAGAGAACACATCTCAAAGTACACTTCTGCTTCTTGAAGTATCGTGTCCCTGGCTCATAGGGTGACATTTGTTCTGATTTATTGGCCTTTCCCCTTTTTCTGACCTGGCATGTCTGCGAGTTCACCTGTCCTTCATCGTTCAGAGGTTGTTGTGGTTGTCCAGCGTAGGGAACGGGGGTATGTTTCAGCTGACGTACAGAGCTTCGAGAATGTTCACGGGGAGAGGAAGGCAGGCTGTGCAGATTTGCTCTAATTTTAGTAACTCACCCACCTAGAAGTTTCTGCAGCCTCTGGGGTCAGGGAGGGAGCTGGGGCCTGAGGCAGTGCCATGGGGAGGGCTGGCAGCCACTGGCTGAGGACCTCTCTGTGTGTTAGGTTCGTGTGAGGTTAGCTGAGGCAGTGCCCTTGTCTCTACTTGACACAGGTGGCTGTGCTTGCTGGGGGCCAAGCTCAGGGTCTCTTCCTTTTACTTAGTTTCTCTCTGGCAACATATGAGCTGGTTACACTGTAGGGGTGCACTCTCTATATGGACCCACAACCCAGTGTTTTCCTTGGAGGCTTTAGTAGGACTGAGGTTTTAACCCTGCTGATTGCCACCAGACCCAGTCACCACAGCTTCAGGGGTACTTCTCAGTCCCTTGCAAAAGGGCATGTAGATAGCACTTTTCCCTAGTTTCCAACAGTAAACAATTATCCCCATTAATAATGCACTTATAGTTATCAGTGAGAATATGGAAGAGGAATGAAGTTAATTCATGTTCTCATCTTGCCATTTTGAAGCTAAAGACAGACTAATAATTTTCATCTTTCTACCTGTATTAAGGTGGATTTAACTATGTGTATTTGAAAAATACCAAAATAATGGTACCTTAAACAAAAAATAAGGTGATTTTTCCCACAAAAAGTTTGGAGATGAGTCATCTAGGCTCCTTCTAGCTCTCTGCTCCACCCCCACTAGTGTATGTGGCTTGTATCCTCAAAGTCCAATATGGCTACTGGAGCTCCAGCCATCACATCCACATTCCAGACAGCAGGATGGAAGGAGACTGCAAAAGGACACATTCCCTCCTTTTTAAAGAGACTTCCCCAAAGTCCCACACAGTCTTTATTATATCTCATTTACCAAAAGTTTATCACCTGACAATACTTAACTGCAAAAGAAACTAAGAAATATGTTTTAACTGTGTGGAAATGTGCCCAGCTAAAAATTGGGATTCTGTTGCTTAAAAAAAATAGGGCATGAATATTGAAAGGATACTGGGATATTTCTGCCTTATTCCTGCTACCCCTTCACAAGTAGTCGTAGGAGAGGAATTCCGTCTCTGGTGCTCTCCACCTAGAATAAGCCCTGAGGGTTTGGCATCCCCCAGGGTTGACGGAGGTCAGAATTGGGAAGGTCAGTGCAGATGGAGAGGCAGAAGATTGATTGATTGATGCTGTCATTCATTCATTCAGCAAACGCATACTAAGTACTTGAGACCCTGCCCCTGCCAGACCCTCTGCCAGAGCCTGGTGCTGGGAAATGCAGATGCCCAGAATACTCTGGAGCCCAGAGAAGGGGGTCTATGAAATGAGGGCCAGAGAAGACCTGGGCTGAGAGCTAAGCTGAACTTTGGAGAAAGAGGGGGAACGGACCTGGAAGGGCATCTGGGAAGAGGGAGCAGGACTCATTGAGAGAGCCTGTGGTACTCTGGCTTGGCTGGGACTGGGCCAAGGCCAGTCCATCAGGAGGAGGGAATGGAGCTTGACCAGTCAGGGCCTGGACAATGTGGACTTGCTTCTGTACACCATGGGCTTGAGGTAGATGCAGGCTGGAAGGTCTGTTACCTCTGGTGTGGAGGTGGACAGGGGTTGGAAGGGCAGAAGGGGAAGAATAACTGGGAGGGAAAGACCAGTTAGGAGGTGGAGGGCCCCTCACCAAGAGGGCAGGTGCTGAGGATGTCAGAATCGCTGAGGACTGGCCATGGTGCCACGCTGGATGTGGGGTCCCTGCTAGGGGTTGGGATGGTGGGGAAAGACTCGTGTCCAGCAGGGCGGGGGGCAGGTGGTTTCCATTCAGACTGCATCACCTATCCATTCAGCCCCTCAGCACTCCGTGAGCTTTTATAAAACACCCAGGAGATGCCAGGAGCTTACTGTTGCCAGAGAGGTGGGGGTGCCTGCATCTCAGAGGGGGCTAAGGACTGGTTAAGGGAACAGACTCTTCCCCAGTGACTCAAACCTGGCTGAAGGTTTTTGTTTGTTTTTAATCCAGAAAAGTAAAATGACTGTTAACAGAGAAAAGGAGAGGTGGGGGCGGGGAAAATTTCAGAAAGAAAATCTCTATCCCTACATAAATCAAATGTTTTAAAGAAAAAAAATGTTAATCTTGTTAGGTATGAGGGAATATAAAATAAAGCCTTCTTATAAAGTGAAAGACTAAGGATTTTCAAGAAGTTATGCAAGTTTTATTTTAAATGACAGTAGCATATCTCTAAAGTGTAATAGTATCTGGTAGTTTGTAAATGTAGATCATAAAGCTGTTTGTAAACTCTTTGTAGATCCCGCATCCACCCTGTAATTTATGTGGTGGGATTGTTTGTGATTTTTCAGTGGGGAAACTGAGGTAAGGCACCTGCCCAGGTCCCCTGGCAGTGAGTGGGAATTGGCACCCTATCTGTCTCCAGGGCAGCACAGCCTCCTCCTGCTTAGCTCTGGCTGAAGACGTGGGTGTGGGCAGCCAGTTCTTTGTCCCATCTCCCAGATAAGCGCTGTTGTTGGAGTCTGATTTGTGAAGCTGTAGCATTGTCTGCAATAGCAGCTCCCCAGGGGGAAGGGCCCGGACTGGGGACCCAATCCCTTAATGCTTAGGGAAGGTCAAGTCGTGTTAACAAGGGGGCTACTGCCCTCAGGAAAAGCCCATGAGGGAGGCCGGGGAATCTGCGGCTGAAGGGTGATGTGGCATTGTGGAGAACGGCGAGGATGCTGGAGCCCTCTGCCAGGGTTCAAAGCCAGGCCCTGCCACTTACTGGCCATGTTACATTGAATGCTAAAAAAAAAAAAAAAAAAGCTCTCTGTGCCTCAGTTTCCCTGTCTCCAAAGTGGGGATAGTGATCTACCCCGCCAATGTCATGAGGGTTAAATGACTCCGTCTATCTGAAGTCCTCAGAAGGTGCTTTGCACACATACTGCTAACTGCCCTCCTCTGGTCTGATGGTGAGACTGGCTTCCCAGTAGACCTGGATTGGATCCTGCCAGGTGTGGACCCCCATGCCAGAGGCCATTGTTGTCCGACATGCAAGGTGATGGGTGTGCTTGCTTCATTGGAGCCACTTCTGACCTTCCCTCCACCTTGCTGAAGAGGAACAGGAGCCAGTGGAGCAGAGGGCCTGATTTCCTGTCCACGGGCCAGGCAGGGTTGACAGAGCCATTAGGATCTCACCCATAGAAACCAAGGCTTGCAGTTTTGAGATGCCCTTATTCTGAGCTCTGCTCTCCTTCTCCATGGCCCTCTCTCCTTTATTGCTTCTGCTTATTTCCTCACTCTCTTTCCACAGTCTGTCTCTGTCTCGTGCGTGGTGAGGGAGATGAGGTGAGTACTGCCATACGTTTGTACAGTATCCGATATTGTTAAAAGTACAGCAACATTGCAGTTACCTTTCTAATAGCGGGCCTTGGATTTCTCCTATTCTAGCCACCCAGATGACTATCCCAGATTTTTCTTACCTGGCTCATTTTAAGGGTCTTCCTAAAATGCATCTGTTCAGAAAATCCAAGAGCCAGATCTGAGGAGAGTTCATTTTTTAAAAATGTTTTCAACGAAACTCTAAACATAAAGTCAGGACTTAGAAGTAGTAAATCATCATCAGTTTACTACTAATAAGCACTCATAGCTCATAATCATGAGATTGCTGTTGTGACTGGGAAGAAACTGTGGCATCCAGCAGATGGTGGCAAATCCCCTCTCTCTCCCCAGGTGGACATGGAAGCGTTCCTCACACTGACTGACGGTGACTTGAAGGAGCTGGGAATTAAGACAGATGGGTCCAGGCAGCAGATTCTGGCAGCGATTTCTGAACTGAACGCAGGCAAGGTACCGTTCTCTGTTTCTTGTATTTCCGTGTTTCAGACATCTGAGAGCTTCACCAGGGTCCTGGGATCTTGGGAAGGTCTTACTTCCTCTCTCTGACAGTGAGCAAGCACTCACTACCTCCCAGCATGGCCTTTTCCCTTTTCGGACTTCCCCCGTAAGGTTTCTCCCCAGATAGAGCTGAAATCTTCGCTCAGGTAACCAATGCACAGGGCTAGGTGTGGCCCTCGGGAGCACTGTGAAAGCAGAGCCTTCGAGCCTTTGGCTCAAACAGGCCCTGGGATCAGACTGGCCTGGGTTTGAATCCCAGCTCCTTCACTTATTCACTGTGTGGGGTGAGGCAAACACCTCTCTGAGCCTCACTGTCCCTGTCTGTAGGGTGGGGATGATGGTGGTGTGTCAAGGACTAAAATGCTCAGCAGAGCTCCTGGCACACAGAGAGCCGTCAGTCACTATTGTCGGCTTCCCACATTTTTGTCTCATGTTAAATTTCTCATCAGCTTTAAAGCTAAAAATATCAGTGCCCTCACCCCGCGCCCACCCAAAGGCACACACACACCAAAAACAAAAAAGAACCACAAAAATAAAAAAGACAAATCCCCACTCACTTTGCAAGCTTCGTTGTAGTTGCTATTGGGCTATTGGAACTCCTTTGCTGTCTGCTTTTTTTTCTTAATAAAGGGTGGCTTTTTTTTTTTCCAGCAACAATGCGCAGTACCTGTTTACCTGCTGCTTTTTCACACTTGGCCTAACAGCTTTCCACTTGTTGAACAGTAGTCTCATGCCTGGAATTTTGCTATTATGAATATTGCCATAATGGACATCTCTGCCTTTTTCCTCTTTTTTTTCTTTTTTTGTTGCTGTTCCTTGGGCTGTGTTCCACGATATGTGGAGATATCAGAGAGCATGGCCACTTTTATGGTTGTTTCTGTATGTTGCTGGACTATGCACAGAAATATTGAACAGACACATACCACCAGCAGCAAATAAATATTTATGTAGTACTTTATCATCTACAAATCACTGCATACGTTTCCTCATCAGTCCTGTAGACAGCCCAAGGAGGCCGATGTCCTTACACTTACCTTGTCTGGCTGGTGAGGGTGCACAGTCTAGGGAGGGGAGCATGGTGCCCAGGTCACGCGGTGGTGGGCAGTGGAGGGAGACGCTAAACCGAGGCCTCCTGGCCTCTTTCTCTTCACCTCTCTGCAGCACTGTGCTGTGCAGAGGCGGCTCCTCTCAGCCCTGCCAGGATTGGAGGTGGTGGTTTTTGTTGTCACTGTCGTCATTCTTATTACCTGCCTGAAGGCTATAAGGTGATCCTTCAAAGGGATGCCCTTAGCATTGCCTTGGGCATCCCAAGGCCAAGTAGTTTTCCTCCAGTCTTTACTAGTTCCTTCTCCTCTGTAAATGGCTGGATTCTAAACATTTCTTGGTTGTTGCGTGGGCCTAGACCACCTCACTTTACATATAGGGAAGCCCAGGCTCAGAGTTGGGCAGTGATGCCTGACTTCCGGACCAGCACCGCTTCTGCTCTGCTGTTAGATGTCAAGGGGGAGGGCAGGGGGGTAAGGCAGGTATGGAGGTTGTCAGAGGCGGGCAGATCTCGGCTGTCAGGAAGGGCATCGTCCAGGAAACTGAAGCCTGAGGGTGGCTCACAGAAGGTGAATCAACCAAAACAGTCTCTAAAGACTGGGGCATTGATTTATTCATGAAGAAGAGCCTTTATGTCTCAGGCACCATGCGGGTATTGACCATTCAGAATCACTCTGTGCCAAGCATTGTGCTCTGAGCATGTCACACATTATAGTCATTCATTTAATCCTTACGAAAGCCACAGAAGTCAGTTTCAGTTTGTAGATGAGGAAACCAAGGCTCAGAGAAGTTGAGGAATTCACCCAGGGTCTCCAACTGCCTCAGTGTAGCTAACCCACAGCACATAAAGGAGAGGCAGGTGGTGCTGTGAGAGCTGGCTTAGAATCGGGGCTGAAAAGACATCCCTGAGGAAGTGGCAAGGCAGCTGAGACCTGAAGCAAGAGTGGAAACCACTGGTTAGAGGGGTAGTAGAAAAGTGCGGAGCAGGCAGAGGGAAGCACATGTGCAAAGGCCCTGTAGTGAGGTGTGCAGTGTGTTTAAAGAACTAAAGGAATGGTTGGAGTGCAGAGCAAGAGACATGACATGTGGGGAGGCCCAAGGGACAGAGCAAGGCCCCCAGGGTGGTAAAGGGTGACTCAGTCAAGTAAGGGAAAGGGCTTTGGGGAGGGGAGGTGGGTGAGTGATGGTGGGGCGGGGGAGGGCTGTGGCCCAGGCGTTAGAGGACCCTTTCTCCTCTTCGCCTCCAGAGGCCAGATGTGTGAGCCAAGGAGAGGATGGAGTGAGTAAAATCCAAGCTTAAGCCAGTTAAGGAAGAAGGACGGAAAAGGTTCTGGAGGCAGGGCCAGTGAGAGGACAGGCCAGGAGCTGATGCCACCAGATGGCAACTGCTAATGCTTCCAGAACCTCCCCTGTGCCCTCTGTGGCTACGGCCTCCTTGGCCCAGGATCACAAAAAGCAGACAGACTGGGCTAGTGTGCAAACCTTAGGAAACTTAACTGACATCATCAGAGTGAATGACATGACATCTTGAGCCCATCCCGATGGAGGACATTGTTCTTAAAGTTTATATAAACTAGAGCCTTTTTTCAGTTGCCTCTCAAATTCATCTCCCCCTCCCCCCCACCCATTCCCTCTTCTGCGACAGTCTGCATCCTATACTAAACAGGCCCCATCAGGTGAAGCAGAAGGGACAGCTGTTAGTGGTCCTGCTTAGGGGCCCAGCTCACCAGCTCACAACCAAGAGGCCCAGGTGCCTGTGACATGCCAGGCCAAAGGCACCACTCAATCCCACCTGTGTCCCCCCAACAGGCAGCATCCACCCTGCAAAGTCAGGCAGTTCCACACAGTAATAGGTGCAAGGGGAAGGAGCCGATCTGAACCACTTCCCTGGAGAAAGATCCTGTTATTCAAGAGTAAATAATACCAGATAAAGTCCTCTGGAAGTGAAGACCATGTATCATCATGAGTCATAGAGAAAAGGCATGTTTAGGAGAAGTGTAATAGTACAAAAGCAAATTTAACTTCTGCTGCATTATTTTAAGTTAGCACTGCAACTGCGTGCTGGTTCTTAGATGTGCAAAGAGCTCCTCAGGCCAAAGGTGGCTTCCAAGAGTCGGTTCACTGCCCTTACAGCCTTCAGATGCTCTGGGCCTTGGCTATTCTAGACTGGACTTGCCTGACCTTGACATCAAGGGTTCCTGCCTCTTTAATTTTGCTATAGGGCATGAACTTCTCTTTGTAACATTCATACTTTTTCTTTTGCAACGCAAGCTTGGCCAACCAAGAGAGAGTACCCATTGTGGCTCTAGTGCTCTGTACACATTAGAGACCCCAGACCAGGACACATGAGACGGGGAGGCCCAGCTTTCCTTGCCCGCAGTGTCTTTCTAGCTGTGGTCCACAGCACGCTGGTGGGTTTTAGAATCCATTTAATGGGGCATGAGCAGCACGTTTTAGAAAATAGAATAGAAAATAGCAACATGCTTTTGCAGATAGAAGGGACAAGATGTTTCAGTTACATGTGTTTACATGAAAACAGGGTGTGATATAAAATGCTTTTTTTACACAATCAATAAGATTGAGCATTTTGGCCTAAAATTTTTTAAGTGAGTATTAACTAAAAACCTGGCTCATAATGTAATAACATCAGCAAGTCTTATTAAGCATAGTAATATTAGCAAAACGTTGTGGACCCTCAGCCTGCAAGCCACGTCACTTCCAGATGAACCCACCCCAGTATTGGAATTGTAATGTGTGCTCGAGTCTGCTCATTAGTTTGTTAGTTTCGGATGAGTTATATATTGGAGGTTTACCAGAAATGAGGAGTTAGTTGGTCCTAAGTCATTGTTTCTTTTTGTTGCCCTTTTTTTTGTGATTGTCAATGCAGTGCATATTGATTTTATTAAATTTACACAGTACCAAAATGGTGAAAAGAATTTTTTTAAGAAATCACAATCCAATCACTCAGAGGCCAACATTGTTCACCTTTGGGCAGATTACTCTGCAGTGTTTTGTGTCCTTTTTTTTGTTTTTTCTTTTTTAAAGAGATGGGGTCTTCCTGTGTTGCCCAGGCTGGCCTCAAACTCCTGGCCTCAAAGGATCTTCCCACCTCAGCCTCTTGAGTAGCTTGGATTATAAGCACCCATCACCACACCCTTAAATTTTCGTAAAATATAACTGAGATAAATTTGGGTCCGTATTTATATCCTGCTTTCTTTAATATGCAATATATGCAGCTATTCATGTCATTAAGAACTCTTTTTCATATAAATTTGCATAGATGTGCTAAAATTAATTTTTAAAAAATTCCTACCTGTTGGTTATGTAGATTTTCAAACTTTGTATAAATGGTGCTGCAATGGACAGCTTTGTGTCTAAGGCCTTCTAATCCTCACAGTAGATGTCTGAAAGTGGAATTACTGAGTCAAAGAGTCAGAATCAAGGTATATGTACATCTGAATAACTTTCCGGAAAGAGCCAGTGAACAGTTCCACTAGCTGTGAGTGTGTGAGAGTTTGTTATTCGTTTCACTGCAGCTTTGCCAGTATTACTATCAGTTTGTTTTTTAATCTTTATTAATTTGATAGGCAAAAAAAGGTACCTTGTTTTAATTTGCATTTTTTGAGATGCTAGATAGTTGAACCTTTTTTCTACATTTAATAGCTGTTTTTTTTCCTTTTGAGAATTATCAGGCAGGTCCTTTGAAACTCAGGGGTTTTTAAAGGGCAATTATTGTTATCATCTTCAATCAGTTGTGGATGCAGGAAACAATTATGGTTTTAATCATCTACAGCTCCCTCCTAAGGTTAGCAGGCAGCGAGGGCCGGAACCCTGTCTTGCCCTGACCTCATTTCTCAGGAAATTAAGGCTAAGATGGTGTTTAATAATAAAATTGCTGTCAACCCTTCCATTTACATTTTAGCCCTCTGCAGTTTGCACAGTGCCACCCCATTCATTATCTCAGGGTGAGCTTCAGTGCAGCGCTGGCAGGTAACATCCCCATTTGACAGATACTTAGCGGAAAAGGGGCGGGCCTGCGATCCTGGCGCTAATCAGTGGTAGAGTGGGGATTCCAGATCCTCTGACTTGGCATCCAATGCTCTGTCATACCCTCCAGCCTTTGGATTGTGTTGATGGAATCTGGAGGGCATTTTCCCAGCTTATTTAAAATTGTTTGGATTGGTTGGGATGAAGGGAGAATCTTACTGTCCTCTCGAGTCTAGGAGGCCTCATCAGCACAAGAGGTGTCTGTGTGGGGGTCTGGAGAGGGGCCCCTCTGGGCTATGGGGAGTCCATGAAATGAAAGAAAGTTTGAAGTCTGGGCTCATTCAGTGGATTTTTCCCCCTTTTCACTCTTAGTAGAGAACAGTCTGCCAGAGATGATACATTTTTAATTTACTTTACATTTTGACCATATTTATTAATTTTTAAAAATATGTTTAATCCCACTTTGGGAGGCCGAGGCGGGCGGATCACGAGGTCAGGAGATCGAGACCATCCTGGCTAACATGGTGAAACCCCGTCTCTACTAAAAATACAAAAAATTAGCCGGGTGAGGTGGCGGGCGCCTGTAGTCCCAGCTACTCGGGAGGCTGAGGCAGGAGAATGGCGTGAACCCCAGGGGGCGGAGCCTGCAGTGAGCCGAGATTGCGCCACTGCACTCCAGCCTGGGCGACAGCAAGACTCCGTCTCAAAAAAAAAAAAAAAATGTTTAATCCACTGCTGCCCTCTGAGGATAGGATCTGTCTGCCTCCAGCTACCCACACAGGGTCTGTTGGGGAAATGTGCTAAAATTAATTTTTAAAAAATTCCTACCTGTTGGTTATATAGATTTTCAAACTTTGTATAAATGGTGCTGCAATGGACAGCTTTGTGTCTGAGGCCTTCTAATCATCTCACAGCCGTCACCTGAGGGACTGTTATCATCCCTCTTTTGTAGATGAGGAAACCAAGGCCCAGGGAGATTAAGTATCTTGCTCAGGGTGACCCAGCTAGCAAATAGGAGAAATGGGCTCCAAACCTAGACTGTGACAGGGTCTCGCTCTGTTGCCCAGGCTGGAGTTGACCTCCTGGGCTCAAGCGATCCTCCCACCTCAGTCTCCAAGTAGCTGGGACTACAGGTGCATGCCACATGCCCAGCCCAGTTTCTATTCGTTGTTGTTGTTGTTGTCGTTGTTGTTGTTTTTAATTTTTTATTTCCATAGATTATTGGGGAACAGGTGGTGTTTAGTTACATGAGTAAGTTCTTTCGCAGTGGTTTGTGAGATTTTAGTGCACCCATTACCCAAGCAGTATACACTGCCCCCTATATGTAGTCTTTTGTCCCTCACCCCCTTCCCATCCTTTCCCCCTCTGTCCCCCAAAGTCCACTGTGTCATTCTTAATGCCTTTGCATCCTCCTAGCTTAGCTCCCACTTACAAGTGAGAACATATTATTTTTGGTTACTTCAGTCCTGAGTTACTTCACTTAGAATAATAGTCTCCTTCACTTAGAATAATAGTCTCCAATCTCATCCAGGTCACTGCGAATACCATTAATTCATCCCTCTTTATGGCTGCGTAGTATTCCATCATATATATATCACAGTTTTCTTTATCCACTCGATGATTGGTGGGCATTTGGGTTGGTTCCATGACTTTGCAGTTGTGAATTGTGCTGCTATAGGCATGTGTGTGCAAGTATCTTTTTCATATAATGGCTTCTTTTCCTCTGGGTAGATACCCAGTGGTGGGATTGCTGGATCAAATGGTAGTTCTACTTTTAGTTCTATAAGGAATCTCCACACTGTTTTCCATAGTGGTGGTACTAGTTTATATTCCCACCAGCAATGTAGAAATGTTCCCTTTTCACCACCTCCATTCCAGCATCTACTGTTTTTTTTTTTATTTTATTTTTTTGTTATGGCCATTCTTGCAGGAGTAAGGTGGTACCACATTGTGGTTTTGATTTACATTTCCCTGATCATTAATGATGTTGAGCATTTTTTCATATGTTTGCTGGCCATTTGTATATCTTCTTTTGAAAATTGTCTATTCATGTCCTTAGCCCACTTTTTGATGGGATTGTTTGTTTTTTTCTTGTTGATTTGGTTGAGTTCATTGTAGATTCTGGATATTAGTCCTTTGTCAGATGTATAGATTGTGAAGATTTTTTTTCCCACTCTGTGGGTTTTCTGTTTACTCTGCTGACTGTTCCTTTTGCCATGCAAAAGCTCTTTAGTTTAAATAAGTCTCAGCTATTTACCTTTGTTTTTATGCATTGCTTTTGGGTTCTTGGTCATGAAATCCTTGTCTAAGCCAGTGTATAGAAGGGTTTTTCCAATGTTACCTTCTAGAATTTTTATAGTTTCAGGTCTTAGATTTAAATCTTTAATCCATCTTGAGTTGATTTTTGAATAAGCTGAGAGTTGAGGATCTAATTTCATTCTCCTACATGTGGCTAGCCAGTTATCCCAGCACCATTGGTTGAAAAGGGTGTCCTTTCCCCACTTTATGTTTTTGTTTGCTTTGTCAAAGGTCAGTTGGCTGTAAGTATTTGGGTTTATTTCTGGGTTCTCTATTCTGTTCCGTTGGTCTATGTGCCTATTTTTTATACCAGTACCATGCTGTTTTGGTGACTATGGCCTTATAGTATAGTTTGAAATCAGGTAACGTGATGCCTCCACATTTGTTCTTTTTGCTTATTCTTGCTTTGGCTACGCGGGCTCTTTTTCAGTTCCATATGAATTTTAGAATTGTTTTTTCTAATTTTGTGGAGAATGATGGTGATATTTTTATGGGAATTGCATTGAATTTGTAGATTGCTTTTGACAATATGGGCATTTTCACAATATTGATTCTCTCCATCCATGAGCATGGGATGTGTTTCCACTTGTTTGTGTCATCTATGATTTATTTCAGCAGTGTTTTCTAGTTTTCCTTGTAGAGGTCTTTCACCTCCTTGGTTAGGTATATTCCTAAGTATTTTTTTTTTTTATTTTTTTGCAGCTATTATAGAAGTGGTTGAGTTCTTGATTCGATTCTCAGCTTGGTCACTGTTGTTGTATAGAAGAGCTACTGATTTGTGTACGTTAATCTTGTATCCAGAAACTTTGCTGAATTCTTTTATCAGTTCTAGGAGCTTTCTGGAGCTGTCTTTAGGGTTTTCTAGGTAAACGATCATGTCATCAGCAAACAGCGACAGTTTGACTTCCTGTCTGATTGCTCTGGCTAGGACGCAGTCTCTGTTCTTAACCTCTGAGTATTGCTGCCTCCGAGCCTGGAATGCAGTGATGATGTTTTCTGGGCTTAACAGAACATTCACATCCACCCTCTTTTCTCATCTGAAAATGTGTGTATAGGGGGCAGGGGGCGTTGTAGGAATAGAGTGAGAAGTGAATCTCTGTGAAGACAAATCCGGCAGCTTTTGGGCAAAGGGAAGCAAAGGCAGTTTAAACTCTTATCCTGTAGCAGAAGGACACTTGGCTCCCATTGAATTATCTGGAAATCTAAGGACTGGAAAGATGCACAGAGGCGCAGGAAAGGAGACCTCGAATCCGGGCCGTGCGACTCGGGAGAAGTCAGTCCTGCCCCGGACTCGGCCTCCCACTCTGTCCAGGGGTTTGGGGTCCTGCATCCCAGGGCCTCTCCAGCATTGACAGGCTGCGATGGTGGGTACTGGGGAGATTCTGACTCAGTATGTTTTTATTGAACTCGGTACTCTTTCAGTTAGGTAATTTATTTTCCCCAAGACGCCCATGGGTTTTTGAAGTATGAGTTGAACATTAACAACACTGTGTCAATTGAATTAATGGTTAAAAGGTTTAATAAGACTTTCTGTGTCTGTTTTCAATTTCCTCCACAGGGACGCGAGAGACAAATTTTACAGGAAACCATTCACAACTTTCACTCTTCCTTTGAGAGCAGTGCCAGCAACACCAGGGCCCCTGGCAACAGCCCCTGTGCGTGATCCTCCTTCCCGCAGCCACCAGCGTGAGCTCTCTGAATCCCGGGACCCCTTCACGTGGCCACAGCCCCAGCCCTGCCCCCGTCACACTGCTGTGCCTTAGTCATGTTGTTCCCTTTGCTCGGGATGCCCACTTCACGTCGACGGCATTCATTGGTAGTACTTCTTGCTGCAACAAACTTCAACACACAGAGACAGATTCCCATGTAACAGTCCAGTGGGGGTGCTTCTGCTTGGCAGGTTGGTTCACACAGTGATGCAGGGACTCAGCTCCTTTCATCCTGTGCTCTGCCCTCCCCGGGAGCCTCAGAGTTTGCTTCTGGCTGGCGGCAAGGGAAAGGGACGATGGAGAAGGCACGGCTGCTTCTTACCTGCCTTGCTCTTAACTGACACACATCACTCCTGCTCACGTCCTCTTGGCCACTGGTAGTCATGTGGCCCCACCTGGATGCAGAGGAGGCCAGGATGTGCAGTCTCCACATAGTGGCTTCCCAGCAACAACTTTTGACTTAGATGGGGGGTATGTATTATGGTGAGAGGTTAGCCTTCCTGGCACATCTTCCCTTAAAACTTCTAACTTGCCCCTCCTAGTCCAAGTCACCTCTCAGATGAAGTCTTTTTTGACCCCCTTTCAGCCACTGGGTCCCTTAGTGCTGTGTATGTGACTGCTGTAGCATTCCACTGCACCTGCTGCATACAGCTTACATTGGAGATGTGTATGTCAAACGCATTTTTCTTTATTGCAAAGAGAGTCTATTATAGAAGGAAAGAAGTGGAGGCCTGCTGTGTGGATCCCTTCTTCTTCCTAGCTTTCAGTTTCCTTATCTGCAAAGTGGAAGGTCAGACCAGATGATGCTCTGGTACTCCACAGTGCTCACCTGTATCACTGCAGGGCTTTCTGCACTGAAAGTGGAAGCAGAAGGCTAATGGGTCACATTGTGTAAAGGTCTCTGGTGCTCAAAGTTTCTAGGCAAAGAAGTGAAAATTTGGAATTTTGTCTACATCCTATTAATGCTGTGTTCCTCAAAAGGGAATTGGCTTGTGTAGTTTCCTACCATATCATATTTTATTAAATTAGAGGGGCCCTGACTTTTAAAACCCACTGGCTTTCTGAAGTGTTTTCCAGTGAATGACTCATTCAGCCAGTGCTTGTTGCATTTATGTTAGCTACCAGGTGCCAAGTGTGCAGACACAATACAGAGCCTTCAGGCTCTCGACAGGCAAGAGAACACCTGTAAATAGATGGTCCCGACATTGAGAGGCAGCATGGTAGAGTGGGCAGACCTTGTGCTCTGGACTCAGGTTCAAAGTTCAGATGAAGCTCAATGGCCTCTTAGTTGGAGCTTAGAACCAGTATGCCCAAAGTGCTGGGTCTGCAGGAAGTACCCAGTCGATGGTAGGCTGCACAGAATTCTGATCTCTACCTTGAGCCATGCTGAGCCACAAGTTGGTCTCCTTGGGAGGTGCCATCTCTCATCTGTCCCTCCCCCAGCCATGAAAGCCCATTCCCCTATGCTGGCTTTCAGAGGCTGTCGTTAACTTACTGCCCAGAGCCTCGTAGTTTTCTTCCCCTGCCCTGATGGTTGGGTGTTTTTCCTTTAAATTCTCTCAGCCTTACACTCACAGAAGCCAACTTTCCACAGGACTGAAGACAAAGTGTTTCATTTAGCTGTTACTGATAGACACCTTTACAAAGGTTACTAATGTCCCAGCCTTTTTAAGGAGACACACTCATTCATCCCCTACTATGTGCTGGCAGCTTTACCTTTGTCATTTCATCCTCATGGCCACCCTGGAGGTGGCATTGTGTAACCTCATCTTGCACATTCGGGAAACGGATGCTTAGGAGAGGGAAGCAGCTTGCCAGTTAAACAGCCCAGAAGGAGCAGATCTGGGGTCAGAACCGGACCTGGTGGGCTTGCAAGCCTGTGCCTTTTCCACTAACTCCTATAGACTCCTGGAGCTAGAAGCACTTGTGATTCTTGTTTTAATTTACTGATGGCTTCAGGGGTTAACAGTAGGCCTAGAATTGTTTGCCTCTGAAATTCATGGCCCCTGACGTTATGTGCTTTGAGGTTTTGTGCCTGCTTTTTGCTGTGGTCCTGTTTTTTTCATAACAATATACTGGTATAGCTTCCACTCAGGTAAGTTTGATTGAACAATGATACACAGCTGCACCGGGGGGTCACCTTTTCACAAATGTAGACCTCCATGAACTCATTGGATGACCCTGGACAGAGCGGGGCTATTCCCATTTTGCAGACAGGACAGCAGAGGCTCCAGACAATGCCTTTCCTTTCTTTTTCACTGGACTCAAGTGTCCAAGGCTTTTCATCCTAGGAAGTTTGTGTGCTGGTTCACAAGAGGTCCCTGGCACCCTTTCTGGGGATGTTTGGATGCGGCTGGTAGGCAGGGAAGAGAAAGGGCACCCCAGCGGGGGCATGTGTGGAGGCAGCACGGAACATGTAGGTTATAGATCGTCAGGGAGGAGGGGTCAGTTGGGTGCTTGTTTTTCTGATTTTTGGTCCTTGATCACCCCCTTCCCTTCCCACACGTGTCCCCAGCCTGCCTGTGGCTGTTCCCCCCACAAGAAGCACCTCCCTTGCTTGGCAACCTTCACCAGCATTTCCCAAAAGTATGCTCCTGGGAACCCTAGTTCCACAGGATAATAGGTTTTTCATAAAGAAACGTAGGGTGTGTATGTGAAAGTGGGGTGAGGTTCCCTGGTTGAGTAGGTTTGGCAGACACTAAAGCGAGCTACACGATCATCTTTGCTACAGGCCTCTCACAACCTTCAGCATGCCAGCATGGGTCAGGCCTCTTCACAGGGCCAAGAAACTCATAGCATCTCCCACATTACTCTCATCACTTCTCCAAGGTGCTTTTGCAAGACTGGAATTCCTTGGACACCATTGGAGAAGCCCCGCTTTTTCTGGAACAGCGGCAACCAAGAGGCCTTGCAGCCCTGGAAGTGGGTCAGGGCCCTTGGTGGTCACCTTTTTCTCCCCAGCAGCTCTGCAGAGGTGGCCTGCTTGGCAGTGGGACATCAGGGGACCGGTCCTGCTTTGAGATGGCAGGGTCCCTGTTCTGAGAGCTCTCCAGCCTGAGGGCATTGAGCTGAGGCTCCACCCTGAGCTCTCCTGCAGGGTGGAGGGCATTGTTTCCCAGCACCCAGGCAGTGTCTTGCTGGTGTGTCGTGAGTGCTGGATGTCCAAGTCCCTGCTGGCCACGGAGGGCTCCTGCCTCTCTTCTTCAGCGCCACAAAATTACATGGAGGCCAGCTGGTTTTGTGAGGAGATTGTTTATTTTTTAATTCTTTTGTTTACCGAACGTTTACTGAGCATCTACCCTGTGCCAGCCCTACTCGTACGCTCTGTCTCCAAAGATGAAAAAGGACTTCTCTGCCCTCAAGGGAACCCCACAGTATCTTAGAGGAGACAATCATGTCGGTGAGATGGTGTGGTGATGAAGCCTGCTGGGTATACAGCTCAGGGAAAGTCATCGATGATGGCTCAGGCTCAGCCTGGGCACGCCCCAGAGGAGAGAGATGGAGTGGGGCCTCAAAGGGCAGGTTTAGGCAGAAAAGAAAAAGGGCATTCCAGCTGGGGCATGTGCAAAGGCAGCACGTAATGTGTAAGTTCTAGATCGTCAGGGAGGAAGGGTCAGTTGGGTGCCTGTTTTTCTGTTTTTAGTCCTTTAAAATGAGTAGAAGCAACCTGTTACCCTGGAAAGAGCACTGGACATAGACCTAGTGCTGCGTGATGTTGAGCACGTTTCTTCTTCCCTTTGAGTCCCAGTTTCCCTTTTGGTTACAGGGGGATAGTAGCCCCCAGGGATCATGTGAAAGTGAGAAAGCCCTTTTCACACTGTGGAGCGGTGCAGATGTGGGAAACCTCAAAGATGGTTGCCCATTTTAAATCCTTTCATCTCTCATCTCTCTTTCTTCTCTCCCTTCTGCCCTGACGTAGCCATGGTTGGGTGGGTGAGGCCAGAAGAAACTGCCTCCGGCAAGAGGTAGCAGCCGCTCAGGTGGCTCTGCTGGCATCGGAGCCCACAGAAGTGAGGAGTGGCCGATGGACCTGCCCTCCAAATGTGCCTGACTCTGGGTCTTGCTGTCACTGGATTTCCTGGCATGGCAGACAGAAAGAAAGATAGTTTGACCAAGTCGTAGAAGCTGATCCAGCGGGTAAAAAGGGGGCAGGGAACTCGTCCCTTTTATTCTTGCCTCAGAGCTGCCTGAAGACATGGGCCAGGCCGGAGGCTGGACAACTTTGGATAACGCTGACCTGTACTTCCAAGTAAATGCCTCCTGAAGAGCCCGGGACCCTTCCTGGGAGAATTCTGCAGCCAGAATGAAGGTGCCATCAGCAGGAGGCACTGTGAAGCACCATCCTGTCGCTGTCCTTGTCCATTCCTAGCAAGTTAATCGTGTCTTGTTAACCAGCAGTTCCTGTTCAACGTGTAAAGAGACCTGATGTTTTCCCTAATAAAGCTGATAACAGATTTTGCAGGACTGGCTTGCAGAAGGAATCTCCCTGGGTGAGGTGGGTCCTCTGGCCTCAGGGGGCTCTGCTCCTCCTTAACATGCAGCCTAAGAGTGGATTTAGACCCTGCCTTAATTTCAGCCCCCCAGCTGAGAATCCAGTCCCAAAAATAACAGTTGTTGTTGCCAAAGCTTGGGAATGATAGAAGGGAAATCCACACAGAATCACGGGTAGTGAGCTCGAGCACAAAGCCCAGTTCATTGTCCTCGGCTCCCCTCCCCGGCACTGCGCTTCCTTCCTAAGGCTGAGACCACCTCTCCCTGCCCTTGAGAACTCCCTTTGCTCCAGGACCCCCGCCAACTTGGGGCCCTGCCCAGCAGAGTGGAGCCATCTCGCATCAGCATAGGGACCTCCCAGGTTCCCATTTCCTGCTGGAGCCCTCTCCAAGGCTGAGACACAGGGCATGGCCATCCTTGTGTCGGAGACCCTGTCTCCACCTCTAGGTTTGGCCTTCCCCTATAGGGCCCTCACTAGGGCCAGTGTATTCACTGCCAAGAGTCTAGAATGCCATTTTAGTTTCTGCCCAAGGGAGTGTCTATTTTCCTCACCATAGACACTTTTTATTATTTTATTGTTATGTTTGTGCAGGGACTTAATTCTTTGAAAGATTATTGTTTGTCGGCCTGTGTATATTAAATGATGTAAAGTTATCTTCCCACTTTGACTACATTCATCCAAGGTGTAAAACACTGCCCAAATTCCTGCCTGTCATGGCTGCTATGGAGCGAGTCCCTGGGTCTGCCAGGCGCAGCTTCTAGAAGTCACCTTGCCTCATCTTCACAGGAACCCTGTGAGGCAGACTGAAACTCCTTTTTCTGTCAGTATGGTGACTGTGGCACACAGATGCTAACCAACTTTGTTGAGGTCACACAGCTGACAAGGGACAGTCTGGTCTGAGTGCAGGCCTCACACTCTTCCTGGTGTCTTGCTGCGTGTCGTCAGCACAGAGGGGAACGTGGAATTTGAATAAGCCCAGGCAACAAGACAAATGAAACCTGTTGTTTAGCCTCTGCAACTTGTTCACAATTTGAAGCCTCTAACTTGTTCATTTGGAGAGGAGGGCTTCTGAAAGCTATAAATAGCCTAGTGATTCTATTTCTTTTAGGAATTCTCACAAGTGGCCTGGCACGGCGGCTCATGCCTGTAATCCCAACAATTTAGGAGGCCGAGGCAGAAGGATCGCTTGAGGTCAGGAGTTCAGGGTTGCAGTAAGCTATGATCACACCACTGCACTCCAGCCTGGGTGACAGAATGAGACCCTGTCTCAAAAGAATAATAAGAATTCTTGCAAGTTGGGACTGCCTTGTTCATGCTTCCCCGGTGCCAGTAGCTCACATTGGTGGGCTTAGCCCTAGGAGGCCTTAGGAAGGTGGTGGGGGGAAGCTGGGGGTCCTAGAGGGTGAGGCAAGGGTCTGGGGAGACCATGGGCACGGGGCCAGCACTCCACGAGAAAGAACGTTCCAGGGATCTGAGCTGCCCAGGGACAGGAGCATTCCTTAGGCACAGAAGCTGGACCAGCCTGTGCCAGGGCAGCTAGAGAGGGGATGCAGACTTCGGCTGGGGGTTGGACCAGGTAAGTGGTCCCCACGCACCAGTACCAGGTGGAGGTGATATGAGAAAAACAAGAACGAGGCCATGAGTTTGTCTGACACTGGATATTTCCATTTTACATGCTGGCCTTCATTCCAACAGAAGTCCCTCCTACTTTGGAAGAGGCTGATTGTGGTGGTGATAGTTTTAGTTTTACTGGTGTGTGAAATCCAAAAGTTTGAGCAACACTCTTCTAGGACACTTTTGTGATCCCTTCCAGCCCAGTGGTTCTATGAAAAGCTATAAAAAGAAGTGGGAGTGGCTCCTCAATAAGTTCAGCATAGAATGACCATGAAACCCAGCACTTCCACTCTTACGTATATGCCCCAGGGAACTGAAAATAGGTATTTAAACAAAAGCTTGTACGTGAATATTAATAGCACTATTCACAATAGACAAAAGGTGGAAACAACCGAAATGTCCAATGGATAGATGCACAAAATTTATATCCATACAATGGAATATTATTCAGCCATAAAAAAAAAAAAACGAAGTTGATACATGCTGCAACCTGGGTAAACCTTGAAAACAGTAGGCTAAGTTAAACTAGACACCAAAGGCCACATATTCCATGATTCCATTTATGTGGAATGTCCACAATAGGCAAATCCCTGGAGACAGCAGGTGCATGGTTGTGGGGCTGGGTCGAGAATGGAAAGTGACTGTTTAATGAGTAGGGGGTTTCCTTTCAGGGTGATGAAAAAGTTGTAGAATTAGCTAATGGTAATGTACAACGTTGTGAATGTCCTTAATGCTACTGAACTGTAGACTTAAAATGGCTGGTTTTATGTTATATATGTTCCCATAATTTTTTTTAAAAGGTTTGCCAGGGGGAGGTTGTGGGCGTGCCCGTGACCTGGCTGGTGTTTCACCTTCAGTGAGTCTTGTTCATCTCTACCGTGCCATTCAGTGTGACAGGTGTGTGGCCCTTCTAGGGTCTTCCCTTTCCTCTCCCTCCCACATCCATGTGCCCCTTTGTCAGAGCAGTCTAGATAGAGTGAAGGTCTTCAGCCAGTATCCCCAGAGCCCAGCACAGAAAATGCTTTGAGAATGAGCCAGCGAATGAGGTGGGGCTGCCTGGTCCTGGTCCTGTGGAGGGGAGAGGTCAGGATGTTCCCAGGGCACCAGCTCATTTCACCTGCTCCATGCCCCTTCACCGCTCCTCTGGTTCTCATTTCCTGTCTCAGCGTGGCTCAGAGCTTCTCTGCCTCATGTGCTCACAGCTCTTTAGCAGGATAATTGTCTCCACTTTCATCATGACCCAGACACTCCCTTTGAGTCCGAAGATGAGTGTTCCCTGAAGCGCCCAGGCGTTGGCATGGACATCCACTTGACTGACCTGTTCAGCTATGGGTGCCCTCGAGGCAGCTGAGGCTGCCCTGTGGACTCCCATGGACTCCCGCTCCCCCGCCTCAGCCGCAGCCATTGGCCTCTCCTTCCGCGCAGTCCTACCTTTCTTCTTCCCTTCCACAGGTGTCTGTCCCAAGGTCAGTTCCTAAGCAACAGGCTGCAGGCTCTGCTTCACCTCAGAGCGCACTTCCCAGGGAACCCGGCCTGTGACAAGGGGCTTTCTAAAGAGTTGAGTGTGCGTGGAGGGGAACCTGGGAAACGAAGAAAGAGCTAAAGCTGGAGGCTGCACACCATTGTCACTGCAGCTTCTGTGGGGTGACCTCATGGGTGTCACATGACTAGGAGGCCATGTGGGGGTGCTGACAGCCTCTCTCAGGTAGGCGAGCATGTCCATGCAGCAGACACTGATGGCACACCCTCGTCGGCTCGGGGGATGCACCAGGGAGTAAAGCAAATTCCCTGCCCTCTAGGAGCTTGTGATCCACTGGCGTCACAACACCCCGGCTCACAGGGCTGCTGTGAGGACTCACATCGTTCAATGTCCAGCACAGTGCCTGGCACATGGAGGTGACCCTCGGGCACAGAAACTTTTAATCGTTCATTTTCTCACTGTTCCTTGGAGGGCATAGGAGCTCCTTATCAGCAGTCACCATGTCCCTGGAGCTAAGAGCAGGCAGAGGAGCTGGGATATGGACCTGTGGCAAGGCCTAGGGATGCACTGGCCAGACTTATTGCAAGAATAAATGGAAAATATTTGTTAATTAGGTAGCAATAAACGCACATAATTTAGTTTACAAACCATAGTCACATAAGGAAGAATATGGAGCAAAGGAAAATGGGGGGAAGCACAAAGTGCAGACTGTTTTTAGAGCCACGTGCTGGGTCTCCATTGATCCCCTGTCTGTCATGAACTTGAACATAGGCCACTTATCATTCCTGGGTCACACTGACTTTGCTTTTAATTTAAAGTCTATTTTAAAGAGTTCACAAGTCATCAATAAATTTTTTTTGTTGTGCAAGGTGTAACACATTGATGTTTTGATGTCCTCTATTGAGAGCAAGATCAGGGAGAGCTTTCACCAGAACCCCGTAAGAGTTCCAGGCTGTGCAGAGCCCAGGGCTCGGGCCGAAGGAGCCCTTCTGACAGAAATCTCACACCCTGATAAAGTTGCCCAAGGGGCTCCTGCTCACCTGCAGTGAGCTCTTCAAGCTTCTTGAGCTTTCTACTGCTCGGGGCATGGCTCTTTGCATGATTGATCACTCATAACACCTGTGTGGAGCTTTCCTTGCTACAGCCTTGCTACTCAAAGTGTTGTCCATGGACACTTGTAAGAAATGCAGGCCTTGCAGGGTCCCCAGGGGATGCGTATGTGCACTGCAGCGTGAGGGGCGGCGCATTCATCTTCTCAAGCACCACGTGCGTGTGAGCACTGTGATGCTGTTCCCTCCTACACTGGGGGAAGCAGGCTCTGCAGGCAAGATGACCCACCCAGAGTCACCCAGATAGGCAGGGCAGAACTGAGACTCACCCTGGCTTCTCAGGTTTCCCTTCAACCCCAGTAAGTATTTCTTCTGGTTGTACATGCATGCTTAATCCTCTCATCCACCCAGAGGTACCATTATTACAACCCATGTTACAAATGAGCAAAGTAAGGCACAGAGAAGTCAAGTAATTTGCTTAAAGTTGCCATGCCTTGATTAGACCTGATTTATTTGTGGAAATGATCATTTAGGAATCCTAAGCATAGTAGGTGATCTGCAGGGCAGGGTATTCATATTCATCCTGGCACAGTGGAGATCCGGAATCATGAAACCTGGGTTTGACGTCTACCTACACCATAGAGGGCTGAAAGTGCAGATCGCCTCATCTCTGAGGCCTCAGTATTCCCATCCGTAGGATGGGGGGCGGTTAGCAAATGCTATCTGGCAAAGCTGTGGTGATGATTAAATGAGGTAATAACTGCTGGAGTATATTGTAAACTGTCAAATGCTGTGCACCTGCTGGTTAGTGGCTTTATTCTCCATGGACCCAGCATGATGGTGGAAGAGGAAGAAGCTTGGAGAACAGGGAAGTTGCAGTAGGTGGAACTTCAGGGTTGCCATGGGAACCAAAGCTCTGAGGCTGATCAAGGCAGGAAATACCATCTGGTTTTAGACACCAAAAAGCTTCGACTCAACACTGGACTTATTTCTGTAAACAGCAGAATTAACATCATCCTCTAGCAGCGACGTCAACCCAGGCAATCTGGAGATTATTTGTCTTTCTCCTGATTTCCATGGTCAGATCTGGACAAAGCGCCTCAGGAACTCCGTATTCATCGCCTGTCACTTCCAGAGAAATGTGGACAAGTCACTTAATAAGTCTGAGCTTAAATGGAAGAAAAACACCCAACCCCTTCTCTTCCCAGGCTTTGCAAGCTCAGGAGGAAAGCTGGAGGTGGTGCCCAGGGACAGCAGTGGGGAGAGCTAGGGTCCCAGTGGGTACTAAAGCTGGAAGTACATTTAGTGAGCATCCCGTCTTTCCTCCAAATGATGGGGGATAAACACCCAGAACCAGATGGTGCCAGTCCAAGGTCACACAGCAGATCAGTGACAAAACAAACTTGCACCTAAGTCTCTCAACTCTAAATGCACGGTTTTTCCACTCCACCAATCGTATCTTCCTTTGATGTTTGTTCCAGCATTGTAGTGATGCTCCCCAGGAAACATTAGACTTGGGATTTCTCTGGTTCCCTATGGATTCTGCAAGAGGAGAAGCAGAATATTTCTTGAGTCCTACACCTCCCGGGGATTTCACACAGGAAGCCATCGTTTCTTTGTTGTTTTCTTGGGAGAAACAAGATTTCTGTACACTCCATGAAACAAAATGGTTCAGGGTGAAATTTTAAAACTAAGAGGGCTATGCCTTAAAGTTTTCAAAATCTGGAGGAATATCCCTAGTTCAATGCAGCCCCAAATTTGGCAGAGGTCTCATGGGATGAGGGCTTTTCTCACGGAGCTGCTAGGAATGATTTAAGCAGAGAGCATCGCTGAGAATGTAGGCTCAGGGTGACATCTGCTGTGCTGAGCAGCCTTGCTTGCCCTCTCTGAGCCTGTTTTCCGCATGTACACTGTAAGGCAGGTTTGATGTCACCATCTCTGAGGTTTGTTCCAGCTTTGACAGTCTGTGACTTGATAATCATTTTCTAAGAAGGGAACGGAGATTCATTGCTCCTGGAGTCACCTGATGCTTTGTTCATCTGCTGACAGGAACCTGCATTGAGAGGGATCAGCCCTGGGCCCTTCAGTGCTTGCCAACTGGGACCTGGGAGTTTCCTATGAATGGAGCTCAGAGGGAAAGGGTGTCTATCCAGTCTCAAGGGGAGGGCAACACCCGAGCCTGCCATCCCCAGTCATGGCCCCAGGATCATTAGCCTGAGCTGGCAGGTGACGCCCGAGGGTAGCTGCCAGTGCACCTGTCCTTCCATGCTGTATTTACTCCAAGTCACCCCAATATGTCCTCAGATACCCAGGCTGTGCCCTCAGCACCTCTGTCCTGTGTCGGCCAGTGGGGTTCCAGGCAGCTTCATCTCCTGGGAGTGGAGTCAGGGGGCTTAGGAGCTGGGCAATCTCCCAACTCCTAGTGATGGGAAGCTACATCACTAGGGCTCTCTCTCACCTTCTACCCCTTGGGATAGACAAGGTCCTCCTATCGCTTTTCCACTTGCTAGGAGCCATGGGAACCACTTCAGAGCTGTCTCAGGGGACCCTCTGAGCCTCTGCAGCTGGGTTTGGAGATCTCTGGGGTTGCCAGAGTGTGGAGAACTGCGTCAGCTGAGGGGAGGGAAGATCTGGAAAGCACTATCTGAAATTTGTTTCTAACCTGGTTCCCAGGGCACGAAAATGGGATGCTTCAGTCTGAAATAACTTGACAAATACGAAATAGAAAAGCTAAGATCCCCAAAGCAGAGAGCTCCATGTTTCCAGTCCAACTAAGGCAAGGGGAATAACAATCTTAGCTGTGTGAGCCTGAGGAAGTTACTTAATCTCTCTGAACCTCTGGATCTCTCAGTCTTCCCACCAGTAAAATGGGTATAAAACATTTATCCTTCTATGATGGTTGTAAGGATTAAATGAGAAAAACTATCCCCAGTGCCTAGCACTTAGTAGGTGCTTTAAAAATTTGTAAAAGTTGTAAAGCACTTCCATTTCCACTCTCCAAGTGAAGCTTCTTAAGGAAAAGTGTACATGGTAAATTGCATTTTACAGGCCAGACAAAACTGCAGCTCCAACAGGTGGGATGACTTGTAGAAAGATCACAAGTCAGCTCCATGTTAGACTGGTGTCTGTCTGACATCTGAGTTCAAAGCTCTTTCTGTCTTTCTACAACCATGATATGTATCACTTTCTGAATTTTTTTTTAATTAAAGGAATGAAAATGAACTTGAGCCATGTTTATTACCTTGAGACATGACACCTGAGGAAGGTGAGAACTGAGAAATCCTCACTTTCACCATTTTACATGCTTCCTTTTCTTGCAGTTATGAGAGGCACCTGGTTTGGAAACCTGTTTTGTTGCATGCATCTTTCCTTCATATTCTTCCTTGCTGTTTTCAGCTGTGGAGTTGTTTGTGCTGACAATGTCTAGTATGTTCTCTAGGAAGTTAACACCCCAGAAAACAAAGTCTTCTTTGGCGACGAATACTCAGCCTGGGAAACACAGGTAGAGAACATCTCTGTCTGAGAAAGTAGCTTGAAATTGGGTCATGTAGAAGATCGGGAGAAACAACCAAGCTTCTTCCTCCCTCTCTACAGGTGTAGGAATATAGAATTGTAATCCAGGAAAGAGGGGACGTGAGAGAGCTGGTAAGTGGAGCTAAACTTCTTAAGACACAAAAAGCACAAAGCCCTAAGGCAAATAATAATAAAAGATTTGACTACCTAAAAATCAAAGATTTCTTTTTAAATGAAGGTCACAATGTGAACAGACAAGGAGAAGATGTTTGCAGTATCTAAATCTGACAAGGGATTAATAAGGGATTGTAGCTAGAAATATTTGCAAACCAAGAAAAGGCCGTTGACAGAAACAGACACTTGAATATTTGACAAGCATAGGAAGAGATGCTCAACCTTACCGGTAACTGAGAGACATGCAAATTACAGTAAGAGTCCATTGTATACCCATTAATTTCAAAAACTAGGAAGGTGGATAATGCTAAGTGTTGGCAAGGATGTGGGTCATGTTCGCTGGCATGGCCATCTGGAAAGCAGCCTGGCATATTTAAGTGAAGTTGGGTATGTGCCTGCCTGCAGTGTGCCCCCCCAGGCCTGTGTGCCCTGAGATGGGTCTCGTCCTCCTCCTGCTGTGGGCTGTGTCATGGGGATTGGTCCCTCCAGCTTGCATTTCCCAGGCTTCTTGTCATCCAACTCCCACTGAGTGGCCCTGATAGGCTCCACTCTTTCCCCTTGTGGAAGAAGTCACTGTGTGCTAGGCACTGAAGATACTTTTGCCCTCAGCACTGAGCTGTGTCGACTTGGGGTAAGGACTGACTCATGAGTCTGGGACTTCCTATCCTACCATCTTGCTCCCATCACAAGAAATATGAGAAGTTCTGCAGACTGTCAGAGTAAGGAAGAAGCCAGGGTGTTCTCCTCCTCCCTTGGCCTCAGGTGGCATCTCCAAGCAGCAGCTGCATCCCCAAAGGGCCAGCTGTGGCCGAACAGCTCAGCTGGGATTCCAACTTTACCAGCTAATCTCTCCCCTCTGTCCCTCCAGCTTGGGGAAGGGGGCAGTTTCCTGCTGTTGCTGTTGTGGATGGCTGCCTCCCCATCCCCAAGTTACTTCGCAGCTCTTCCATCCTCTGAGTAATTAATTCCCTGCATTCAAGTGCCCCTGTGTTACGTACTCAAGCAGTTTCTACTTTCTGTTAGACTGATGAATATACCTGTGTTCCAGCAGTCCCAATCCTGAGTATATATCCTTCAGAGAAACTCTCCTGCAGGCCCCTAAGGAAAGATGTACAAGGACATTTACAGTGTTGTTTGTAAAAATGGAGAGTTAGCAGTAGCCTGGGCACTTATTACTAGAGGAATGAATATTTTATAAGAATAGACAAATATGTGACATGTATCCGGCACATTGGAGGAGTGACCATGTTGGGGGTTGGGAGAAGAATGGGAATTAGGGATGAAGGGAAAAACAAAAGGGGAGAAGGGCCTTGCATAGAATGGAAGGTGAATATGTCTAACCAAGGAGGTGGTTTGCTCGGCCTCTGCAAATGAGGTTTAAAGCAGTGTACACTCTATCCTCAAAGGATGGATGTGATAGCACAGGCAGAGAGAATAGCATAAGAAAAGGAATGGAGGCCTAGAAACGGTTTATCCAGGGAACAGCAAGAAGTGGGATGTGTCTGGGGCCTGGGGTCTGTGGCTGGAAAATCAGGTTGTGGGAGGCTCTTGGGGCCTCAGGAGCCTTATCAAGGATGCTGGACTCAGTCCTATAAAATCACAGGATGACAGCCACACTCAAAGGAGCTGGAAGATCTGTTGAACCTCTTGTGATTATAGGTGGGGAAACAGGTGCAGAGAGGGGTGGGGATTGGGACAAAGTCATGTGGGGCAAAACTGGTCCAGTGCCTGAGTTTTCTGACTCTTGTTTAGGGAATTTCCTCTTCACTAAGCCCCCAACTCTGCTAAGAACTGTGCTGGCTCTGGGGACACAACCCCAGCCCTCAAGGAGTTCCACTCATAGGAGACAGACACAGACTCAGATAGCCCTGATTGATGGTGAGATGTCTGTGACATTGGTGGCCCCCATGAACTGTGTCTCCCAGTATCCATGCCATTTTGAAGGCCAGCAGAAGAACTTTGAGCTGAGCCCAGGCCCAATTACAGTCATAAGCAAATAAAGTGATGGTTATTCTAAGCCATAACATTTGGGGGTGGTTTGTTATGCCAGCAATAGATTACCAAAACATGCAGTGTCAAGTGAAGACTGGGGGAAAAGCTGAAAAGGACAGAGTACATGGAGGACCAGAGAGAGTGAGAGTGAATTGGACCCAGTGGATGCTGAGAGCAGATAGGCATATAGGAGAAATTATAGGGAGCGTGGAAGACAAGTCTTGGCCATTGCCAATGACTCTCAATAGATCTCTGAGGACCTACTATGTGCCAGGCCTTGGACCGGAGGGGAGGCAAAGGATAGACACAGTGTGGTAGAGAGACAGCTGAGTCTCAGCAGTGCTGGTGGTGCCAGGTGGAAAGTGCTCAGGGCCCTGCAGGAGGTGGAGGTAAAGAGCTGGGGTCATGCAGAAGACAGAGGCACCAACTCCTTGGAGAGACACTGGGGAAGGCTTCACAGAGAAGGCAGAGTTTTATCTGGGCCCTGAAAAGTGGGTGGAGTTTAAAGTTGGTGGGTAAAGCTTTCCAAGGGGAGAGTTTTGTGTGTACAAAGAAGCACAAAGGTCATGACATTTGGGCGGGCAGCAGGGAGTGAGAAGTGGCCAGTACCAAAGTGATCAGAAATCACAATGAGGGGTGATCACCTTGCTTTTCATCTTGAATACACCTTCCAAACCACACCTATGAAAAGATCTTTTAAAATTAAAGCAAGCCCGAATGACGCTCTGGTTATGTGAATTAGGGAAGAATGAACCCAAAATGAGTGAGATTTCTTTCAAAGTAGTTCACATTATCATCATGGGTTGGGAGACCCTAAATGCCTAAAAATAGATACAGAACATTAATTTTTCATTGATCATAATATTATTTTCATAAACATTAAAAATGTAAACTTTTGGCAAGAAAGGTTTCACAAAAGGGAAAAGAGAGGTATGTGGAAGGGTGTGGCATCTCTTTTCTCATCCCTTTTGATCTGCTGCCAGTCTTTTGGAGGGGGCCTGTTGGGGCCTCAGAGTCAGGGTGGGACGGTATAGCTTGTAGGGTAGAGGGCTCTGGAGACTTTCAAACCAGTCAGAACCCCAGCTTTGCCTCTTCCTAGCTGTAAAGTGCTAAGCATGGAGTCCAGCACATGGTAAATGCTCAAGATGGTTTTTGTTGCTAAAATTGCTCACATGATCACTCATCCCATTTTAAAAAGAACCAAAGCCAAGGGGCCTCCAATTGTCAGCATAATGGGAATGGGGTGCAAGTCTCCTGTCTCCTCCTTTGACTCCCCTCTGTCTCCTCCCTCACCCCACCTGTCTTCCTTGCCCCCAGAGGTGGTGCCACCAATGCCAGGGGTGCTGCAGTGAGAGGGATGGAACTCCAGGGCCTCTGACTCTCTTCTGGATTGTGTTTTGAGGACCTCCAATGTGCCAGTAAATCAACTGACTTCCTCAGAGACTCACACCCAGCATCAAACAACGTCCAGAGAAGAACATGCAAGCCGCAGGTCTCCTCATCCAAAGAACCAGCAAAGAAACAGTATGAGGCAACAAGCACCCCCTTTCAACAAAGGGGAGTCAATAATATGAAAAGTTACAAAATCAGTTGTTTACTTAACCTTCAAGCTGTGGTGTGGTGGAAAAGATTGGCTGGCCGCTTAAATCCAAAATTACTGTCCAAAGTTTGTCACTATTCCAGTGCTGTCTTGGGCAAATCGTTCAACCTCTCTGAGACCCCATTTTCTCTTCTGAAAAGTGGGCATACAGATGCCTCACATAATTATTAAACATAATTACATGCAATGATATATGCAAAGGGTAATATACCCTAGATTGCACTGAAAAGATATTAGCCTCAGGTTGGGGAAGGGCATGACCCCTGAAGCTGCCTGCACTTTCCTTTGCATGATAATCTGTAGCTCCCCCAGACTCTTTTTTGTTGTTGTTAAATGCAGTCTCGCTCTTTCGCCCAGGCTGGAGTGCAGTGGTGTGATCTCGGCTCACTGCAACCTCCACCCCCCGGGTTCAAGTGATCCTCCTGCCTCAGCCTCCTGAATAGTTGGGACTACAGGTGCATGCTACCACACCCAGCTAATTTTTGTATTTTTAGTAGAGATGGGATTTCACCATCTTGGCCAAGCTGGTCTCGAACTCCTGACCTCAGCTGATCTGCCCACCTCAGCCTCCCAAAGTGCTGGGATTATAGGTGTGAACCACCGCGCCCACCCCCACACCAGATTCTCTAAAGTGTTCCTAACAGCTCCCCCTCCCAAAGTTTAGAGACACTGACATAGTTTTTTAAAAATTTATTTCTATATAAGGTTAAATCTAATATTGAGAAAGACCAGAGCAGAGATAAAAAGAAAATTGAAACAGAAAAAAACAATAGTAAATATAGAAACCAAATATGGTGGGTTGGTTGCTCTTTTGTTGTTGGAGTTTTTTTAAATGAACTGAACTTGTCATCCTCTGCACAAACTTCACAAAAGGAAAAGAAGAAAAGGATAAAAATAGAAACAAAAGCAATAACAAAATGGCAAAATGATATAAGAACCTTTTTTTAAATAAAAGGAATATATGCTTATGGTAAGAGATAATTCAAACAGTATAGAAGGGTATGAAGTGAAAAATAAATCTGTTTTTACCCTTCCAGTTATTCCTTATCCTTAGACTTATTAGCCAGAGTGTGCCACTTGACAGAAAGAAACTTTATTTATTGTTTTTTTCACATTGCAAGCTATGGTATCCTTTCTGAAGGAGAAGATGGAATTTAGAAAATTCCCAGAGGCATCTCATTTGCTAAAAGATAATGAACATCATATGAAAGAATTAAGTGCTTTCCTGGATCCTGACAAAATAAAGATATCAATCAAAGAAACTCCCCAAAGGAAGTCCAGATGGCCATGCAATTGAACTTTATCATGCTCATCGGTTTGGCAATCCCCATGCCCTTGAAATACCCAGGAAAACCACCCAACAGAAAGCAATACCTGATACATGCAGTGATTCTTTATAAAGCCAACCTGAAACTGGAGGAAACCTTATAAAACTGCTACCTTGTTCAGTAATCCTAATGAACACAGGAGCAAACTTTCTCCTCAACCAATCCTCTAAACGTAGCCACAGATCCATCTGAATTCATGGGGTCTTGTGCAGGCAGGATAGTGCAATATCTTGCACAATATATGAGAGTATCATTCATCATATAAAGTGGATCATCCCAAAGCATTTGACTATGTTGTAATTCCAAACTTCAGAAGCATGTGAAAAATCAATAGGACACTGCTATGGTCCCAGTGTTTGTGTCCCTGTAAAATTTGTAGTAAAACCAGCTGGGCGCAGTGGTTCACACCTGTGATCCCAGCACTTTGTGAGGCCGAGGCAGGCGGATCACTTGAGGTCAGGAGTTTGAGACCAGCCTGGCCAACGTGGTGAAAACCCATCTCTACCAAAAATATTAAAAATTAGCCGGGTATGGTGGTGCATGCCTGTAATCCCAGCTTCTCGGGAAGCTGAGGCAGGAGAATCACTTGAACCTGGGAGGCAGAGGTTGCAGTGAGCCGAGATCGTGCCACTGGACTCCAGCTTGGGTGACAGAACAAGGCTCTGTCTCAAACAAAACAAAACAAATTTGTGTTAAAACCAAATCCTCACTGTAGTGGTATTAAGAGGTGGGCCCTTTAGGAGGTGATTGGGTCATGGGGGCTCCACCTTCTTGAATAGGATTAGTGCCCTCATGAAGGAGGCTTGATGGTGACTTCTGTGTCCTCCTTCTACCATGTGAGGACACAGAAGGCACCATCTACAAGGAACAGGTCCTTGCCAGACATCAAGTCTGCTGGTGCCTTGCTCTTGGACTTCCCAGCCTCCAGAACTGTGAGCAACAAATTTCTGTTTGTAAATACCCAGTCTAAGGTATTTTGCTATAGCAGTCCAAATGGACTAAGACAAACATACTGGCCTTTACCTAAACTGTCTATACAATTTGAAAGGCTGAAATATTAAGAAATGGGCAAAAGGTAACTGAAATACCACTAAAGTCAGATGCCAGCCTATCTGTGTCCTTTGTTATTTAATATAACATAGAGTGGTGGTGTGGGCAGGAGAAATAACTGATTTCATTAGGAAAAAGCAAATTAAAAGACTCACTGTTGTTACTCAAAAAGAGAGGCTTGGAATGAGATTGGCACAACAGGATGCTACTGCTTTCTATCACAGCATGCTCCTGAAAACCAGGCCATAAATCAGATCCTTGAGAAGCAAATCCTATTTACCCAATAGGAATGATGTTATAATTGAATGAAGCTTGCTTTGCTGATCAAGGATTGGGCATTAAACTAATCCTATGTAACTTCTCCTCCCCTGCCCCGATGCGAGCTGACATGACAGCCAGCCACAAGGAAGAGAGACTTCTATGGCTCTCTCCAGCCCTCCACCACTGTCTCCTGGGCCTCAGCACCTCAGGAGGAAAGGGTAACTCTTTCAGCCTTGTGAGGAACCTCATGAAGAACCACACTAGGAGGTCTTCCCTGCCACATCACCTCCCATGACTTAGTAAATGTTCAGGTACTAGTGAACGGTGCACATCTCTTCATTGAACAGATTGCTGACTTTGTGCATGCCTATGGCCTCACACATGAAAAGGAACACAGAATTGTAGACAACTAACTATACAATGCAGTGTGACAAGCTTTTCTAGAATATGCTGAGATAAAAATGAAATACTGTATTTCACTGAATCTTAAACACCATTATTTTATGTATCAACAAGAAAGAAAAAGAATACTTCCAACTATAAGATGCCATCAATGGCAAAGTGCATCCTGATTCCAGAGATGAATAAGAACGTGTGTGTTAGAATGGTGAAATGTGGTAATTAACTTTTAAAGAAATGATAAGTATTATCTGTCAGCATGAACCAAGCCTTACTATGGATGCTGAGAAAAGGTAGCAATTATTTCTGCTGGAGTGACTGGAGGAGATATCACAAAGGAGGTGACATTTGACCTGAGTTTTGAAGGATTTTGTCAGTGGGAGAAAGAGTGGGAAGAGTGTTCCAAGTTGAAGGAATAGAATGAGCAAAGGTATGGAGGCAGAAAAGGGGTTCATGTTTATGGGCCAGCTAATATATTCTACGTAGTTAGAATATAAAAGGTGTGGGGAGAGAGAGCTGGTTGCTAAAGCTGGAAACATTGGAGCCACATTGTAAGTGGCTTGTAATACCAGGCGTGGGAGTTTGTACCCCAGAGGTTATAGGGAGCCATCGAATGTGTTGAGCTGGGGGGTGACAAGATTTGGAAAAGTCAGTTTGGCGGGATAAATGAAAGATAGCATGGAGAAATGTAAGAATAGACGTAGGAATATATACAAGTGAGACTGCAACCAGCCACGTTGGGGGTGGGTGGAGAGAAAATCATATACTCAGATCTTTGTGATGATGTCAGATTTTTAAAAGTGCAATAAAGGCAATAAGTGCCAAGGCTACCGCTAACTCTCCATTTTTACAAACAACACTGTAAGTGTCCTTGTACATCTCTCCTTAGGGGCCTGCAGGAGAGTTTCTCTGAAGGATATATGCTGTACAGCAATGGGAATAAAAGATCTACAATCATATACAACAATATGGATAACTTTCACGATGTTGAGTGAAAGAAGCCAGGCACAAAAGGACAGATGGTGATTCCATTTATATCAAGCCCAAGAAGAGGCAAAACCCAATCTACAGTGTTAGCAGAGTCAGCATGGTGGTCACCCTTGAGAAGGTGAGTGACTGGCCAGCAACATGACTTTTGGGTGCTGGTAATGTTCTGGTTCTTGATGGTGATTACATGGGTGTGTTCACTTTGGGAAAATTCATTGAACTGTCTGTTATATTTCAATAAAATTTATGAAACATACTTAGGGCCATGGAGAGAAACTGAAAGTCAGGATCTGGAATGGAGGTATCAGGAAGCTGTTGGACCCTGCAAGCGCTCAATCCCAGAATGACCTGAAGCGTTGGGATAATGCCATGGACCACAAAAGGGACTTTGTGTGGTGCATTAGGAGAAAGCGTGGACGTTTGTTGAAAAGAATGCAGAATTTTCTCATCTCCAGGCCTGTAACAGAGGCACACAGGATGTATTGGGTGGAGAATGACCAGCAAACAGGAGATAGTGGAGCAAGCATAAAATGAAAGATGAGGAGACTGTTAGAGGGCACCTAGAAGCTTTCAACGAGCCTATGTCTCCAGGGCCAGATGAAGTACCTGTCAAGACAGCAGGACACTGTAGCTAGGATCCAGAAAGAGCATCTGAAGGATCTTTGGGAGATGAGTGAAAGGGAGGGTTAGGTGGCAGGGGATGCAGCAGGGTTCAGGTTTCCTAAGAGCCTAAAATGGTGACTTCAGCAGTAGGGGATTTGGGTGTTTATTGTCAGCAGCGTTTGAGAAGAGCTGATTGGATAAATGATGTGTGATCACACAGAGGAGAGCAGTGCTCCCTACGGTGGTTGTGTTCACCAAGAGCCAGCCCAGTTACGACCACCCTTATTCATGGAGTTATTCATCTGACAGGTCAGAGAAATTAAGAGGTAGCATGTATCAGGGTTTCAGCCGGGCTTTAGCAAGGCTTTTCATGATTTTCAGGAGTGCAAGACAGAGAAATGAGGACTGCAGAATGTGGAAGTTGGGAGCAATTTTCAGTAGGTTTAATTGTAGAACCAGAGGCGGCAGATGACCCCCAGTGTGGGCAGTCACAGGGTGTGTCTTTGGCATTCTCCTATTTAACATTTTGACTAATGCTATAGGATGAGAAAGAAAATCCTATTGTGCAATGACAATGGCATTAACTGAGAGGGATGGTGAATATGAGTGATAAGAGACTCACCACACAAGGATGCCTTCAACAGGCTGCAACATCAGGACATGGTCAAAGGTGAAATGTTTCAATCCTATTCAGAGGCCTCCAAATTAAACGGCTGATAAGTAATGTTAGAGAGATGTGGCTTGCTGTTCTTTTGAAGCATCAGCAACAATAACCCCATAGAAAACAAACCTAGGGTTCTTAGAGAACCACAAGCTTCCTATAAGCCAAAGGGGTGATGCAGCTGCTAGCAAAATGTGGGTAAATCTGGACTATAAGGACAGTGGGGACAGCAGTCACAGGTGTGAGCACAGAAGGGCAGCCATGCTCTTCTACATCTTTCTTGGCCCAGGTGGAGGGTTTTGTGGTTGGTTCTGGGTAATGTCTTTGAGGAGAGCCATGAGCAGACTCTAGACTTGTGGCCAGGGGAGGTTTGGGGGCATTTCTCCCAAAGAAGAAGACTTGGCTAGAGGTGGAGAGTGAGGGGGTGCCTAGGAACTACCTCTGGGAAGGAACTGCCATGGGTGAGAGGGAGTGCTGTGGACTCCTGCAACAGGTTAAAACCCGGTAAAAGCTGTAGAAAGGCCTACTGGTGGAGCCTAAGAAAAAAATGTGTGAAAACCTCATGAATCAAGTAATGAAGTGGGAACCTCAGCAGGCACTGATCTTGCCATCTTTAGCAGTAATATAATTATTTATTACATGCCTAATAAGTACCTAGTACTGTGTTAAGAACTTTATATGCATTATCTTAATAAGGGAGATAATTACATGTAAAGTGGTTTAAACAGTGTCTGGCACATGTGAATGCTCACTATGTGTTAGCTATTGTCATTATCTAATCCTCACAATAACCCTATGAAAGAGGAACCTTTATTGTTCCCAGTTTACAGATGGAGAAAATGAAGCTCGGGAAGTTAAGTAACTTACTCAAAGTTGCACCACTAATACTTAGCAAGCCAGAATTTGAGGCCAGGGCTGCCTGACTCCAAAACTCACCACTGTCCCTAAGGGGTAAAGAGGGACTCATATGTTTGGAGGGGTAGGAAAAGAGGCTTCCTAAGCCTGTTCTTCGTCTAAGGTTCTGTTCTAAAACTCTCCCTCTTGTCCATCCTGGGTCCCCTTTGTTAATAATCTAATTGTTTTTGAAACCTCTAAATGAGAGAGGATTTAATCCCTGTTGCCAGTCTGTGTTGTTCTGGAGACCACCCAATTACAAGCTAAATGTCCTTTCTGTGTTCATTCAGGACCTGTCCCACTGACCTGAATCAATCTTCCACAGTTCTCAAACCACATGAAGAGTATGGGTAAAGGAGGAGGCTCTGGGCTCTGCTGGCCTGCCCTAGCCTTGCCGTTGACTCTTTTTTTTTTTCTTTGAGATGGAGTCTCGCTCTGTCACCCAGGCTGGAGTGCAGTGGCCCGATCTCGGGTCACTGCAACCTCCGCCTCCTGGGTTCAAGCAATTGTCCTGCCTCAGCCTCCTGAGTAGCTGGGATTACAGGCCCATGCCACCATGCCCGGCTAATTTTTTTTTTTTTAGTAGCGACAGGGTTTCACCATGTTGGTCAGGCTGATCTTGAATTCCTGACCTCGTGATCCGCCCGCCTCTGCCTCCTAAAGTGCTGGGATTACAGGTGTGAGCCACCGTGCCCAGCCGCTGTTGACTCTTGAAGGATTTAGTCATAGACTCTCCAGGCCAGACACTCTCCTCCCTGATAACCCAAAAGAGGACCCAGATTCTCTTTAACTCAGTGGAGTTCCCTGGTTAGCTCATTTCACTTCTTTCTGGTGTGGACCCTCAGCAGTGTTCTTTGTCTCTTTAAGGCTGTCCTATTCAGTTCTATAAAGGCATCTTCAAGGAGAGGCAAGTAGAGCGGAGACAAATGCAGGAATTTGGGGTCAGGCAGGACTGGGTTTGACAGGACTGGTCAGACAGTACTGGGTTTGGACCCCCTTGCTGCCTCTGCCAAGTATCATTAGGCACACCATTTCATCAAGCTGTACCTTAATCTCTTAATTTGCAAAACTGGGATCCTAACACCAATTTTTCAGGCAGATGTGAAGATTAAGATGATGCATACCAAGGTGTCTGGCACAGAGTAGGTAGGTGTTTAATAAATGGTAGCTATTGTTATTACTCAAGCTGTGTCACCAGACCACATATGATACCTGAAACCTAATTTTATGGTTTAAAAAACATGCCTTGTGAAAAGGGATATGCAACTTAGATTCATTCAGTTAGTCTTTTTTAGAGCCATCATTCATAACTTACCATTTTTAAAAAAGCAAGGAAATGAAAATAAATAATGCACTTCAAGAAAAAAAATAGGCTGCCAACTACTTGGTTGAAAGAAACATTTCCATATAAACATGAATGAGAAATAACATGGGAGATGTTTGCAAAGATGGCATGTGTGTGCCTATGTGTGTGTATGTAAACCATACACACACACACACACTCTCTCTCTCACACACACACACACAATTGCAGCTCCACCCTTCCAGTCTCAATCCTATATATTAGTTTGGTACAAAAGTAATTGCAGTTTTTACCATTACTTTCAATGGCAAAAACTGCAATTACTTTTGCACCAACCTTATATCAACTATATATATATAGTTTGTTTTGTTTTAAAGAAGAAAGTGAGAGAAGACCTTGCTGCTGTTAGGAGTTAGAGTAGAGGCAGGCATGGATAACAATCAAATGGGGAAAAGGGTGTTAAAAACTGGACCCAGTTCCTGGAAGGAGGCAGCTCTGGAGGGCAGATCTGAGCAGCCCTGGGTGGCACAGGGTGTCAGCCCAATAAGGAAGGAGAGCAGACAGCAGAGAAAGGCCTGGTTAGCTTCCCAGCATCAGGATCCTGTTCAAAGGGATGGAGTGTCATGTTGACAGGGAGCCAGCTGGACCATGGAGCCCCAAAATCCCCAGAAAGGAAGCGGGCACCATCTCTCAACCTCTGAGCTGGGGTTTAGAGACTGGCTTCTGTGTGTAGGCAGAGGGTTTGTGAGAAAAGATTGCTAAGGAAACAGGATTATGCAAACAAGATAATAATTTAAGCCATACAGACCTGGGCTAACACGGATGTTTCATTACTTCCTGGAGGTGCAACCTGAGCACGTTGCTTTCTAAGTCTCTATTACATCTCTTAAAAGGTAGATGAGTTCAAGGGAATCAAGTGTTTTCCACATTCTGGGACTTGGCCAATGCATTTTATTCCAATTAATAAGAAGCACAATGATTAGCCAATTCTCATCCTCTCTTCTGCTTATACCCTGGCCTGGCCACCAAATGTGCTTATTGTAGTAGAGACTCCTAACAGGTATTCCTGCTCACGCTCTTTTCCCCTGCTAACGGTTCTTCACTCTACAGCCAGAGTGATCCTCTTAAAATACATCAGATCATGTCACTGCTCCACCCAGTAGCCTCCCACGGTTGCTGTTTCATGTGCCCTCCCAGTGCTGAGGCCCCATACAGTCCTACCTGCCTTTGACCTTGGATCTGATTGCTTTCCCTTTGCCCACTCTGCTCTACCACATTGGCTTCCACATTGTTCCTTGAACATGCCAGGCACACTCCTGTCTCGGAGCCTCTGCCCTTGCTGTTCCTCTGCATGGAACACTATTCGCCTGTCTCTCTTACTTACCTTCTTTATGTCTTTGCTGAGGAGTCACCTTAGTGTGTCTTTCCCTGACCTCCCTATTTCAAATTGCAGCCCCACTCTGCCAGTCTCAATCCTCTTTCCTGCTTTTTTGTTCACCATAGCACTTTTCATAAATGGGCATACTAACATATCTTCTTCTTCCTATTTATTGTTTCTCTTTCTCCACTAGAATGTCAATTCTACAAGGGCAGGGATTTTGTTCTGGTTTTTTCCTTCCTATATCATCAGCTCCTAGGACAGTGCCTAGCAGGTAGCATGCCCTTCAAAACACTGGTCAAAGGAATGAATGATTATTATAAAGCAAGACGCTGGACCCCAGCTCTGGAGGAACATGCATTCTAGGCTGGTGACTGAGGCAGGAACTCAGACTCAGGAAGCACATCAGGGATGCAGTTACCCAAACTGTAATACCAGGCCAGAGTAAGATCTTGGAACCAGAGGGATGCCCAGGCATTAGGAGTGGGCTGTGAGATCAGAGATTGGCCTGGAGCCATGCTGATGGAGAGTGAGATTGGTGCCCCCTGGGTCAGGGCAGATCCCAGGTCATGCGTCTTGGGGCCAGGTCACCCCACCATAAAAGAAGACAGAGGGGCTGTAGGGCAGGATGCCAGGTAGGGCCTTCAACCCCTTAGTAAATGTCAGGCAAAGTTACCCAGCTTTCAACTTATTCCCAGATGTAGGTGTCAGTGGACACTCTATATTGGCACAGCTTGCAAGGAGGACACAAATGACTAAAGGAAAGAATTAGAAAAAAGAAAAAAACCAAGTGAAAATGTTCATTCAGAAACCTGAGCTAAGGGTTTGAGGAATGGCAGGTGCCAGAAGACTATGACTGGAGGATATTTGTGATGTCAAGTGAGACAGCAGTTGAGCGAGTATCTGGGGATTACACTGTCCTTTGGACCATTTCTTTCCCTCCCTCCCTTCCTTCCTCCCTTCCTGGAGGAGATGCTCAGGTGAGTTCTGTTCATGCAAACCCTCCAGCTTGGGGAAAAGGAAATGCCAAGTGGAGCCGGGAGAGGTGGAGTCTATAGAAGCCTGGAAAGAGAAGTTAGGGCAGAGAGAATTTGGCCTGGTTTCCCTGGCGCTGTCCAAGGTACTCTCTAGTAGTTCTGCTCAGCCTCCACTCACATCTTTGTGCTTCCTAACAACTCAGCCTGGATTCAGAGCTGCCCTTGCCTCACTCCAGTAGAGCTGGTGTGTGGCCATCATCATCATCATCCGGTCCAAATCCCTCACCATATGCCGGAGGGAATCGATGTCCAGAGCAACTGAGTCAGGGCAGTGCTCCTCCTGGAGAGGAAACTTGCAGTCCCACATCCCTGGCTCCCACTGCACTGTGCACGGAGTTCCTGCTGGCTCTGGGTTCCGGTCCTTCAGTAGCTCTGTGTGCTTCCACTAGCTACAGAACCTCTCTGAGCACCAGTGTATTCGCCTGTAAAGTAAGGGTGAGTAACACAGTATGCTTACAGGGCAGTTGTGGGGATTACATCATAAGGCACACAGTAAGTACTCAGCGAAGGTCAAACTTCCATTCTTGTTACAAGGTCGTCGATATCTTCCACAGTCCCTGGTTCAGGCTCAAGTATGTTTTGTGATTTGATGTCCTACTGTGTTCCTCGCATTAATCAGCCCCTGGGACTTTATAGATTAATGATCACGTTTCCTATTCTTGAAGTATGCAGAGGCACAAGGAACCCAAGGTCTTAGGTCAGCTCACTCGGGTACATCTGGCTCGGGACTGCTTTGGCTAAGATTGGCCAGTGCGACCTGGCAGAGAGAGGGCCAAGTCCAGGGGCGCGCGGCCCCGCCCTGGCCTGAGGATAGTGCTCCCACCCCGGGAGACTTCTAGGGCGGGGCCCATCAAGAATGGGGACGCGGGGAGGTCAAATGCCTGGAGGGGGCGGTAGCGCACGTAAGGTTGGGACCCCAGCTTTGCTTGGGGTTGGCAAAGGGCGGTCGCTCCGTCTGGTGGGGAGGAAAGGGGTGTCCTCAGCCAAGGCCCTAAAGGCCGGGCAGCCTGGCACCAACGGGCGTTCGAGCACCCGTGGGCGTCTTCAGCGACCCCCGGGACTCGGTCAGGGGCTCGTGGGCGCCAGAAAAGAACGGGAGAGCGTAGGCTGCAGATGCCTCTGGGACGCCTTCGTGGAACATTCTCCTGCCCAGACCTTCCCGGCCAGACCTCCGAGAAGCGGTTCCAAACCACCGTGCAGGTGCTACAGGCAGCGCTCGGCGGAGCGGCGGCGGCCACTGCGTGTGCCAGCGCGCGGTCCCGGTTCCCAGATCGCTGTCCCCGGGCGCTCTGGTGCCTGGAGGTCAGCGGTCGGCGGGCAGCGGCAGCTGGCGCAGCGGAGGGCCGGGGGCGCGTGTGTGCGTGTGCTGGGAAGGTGGCCCTCCCCGCGGCCGCCGCAGCGCCAGCGCCTCCCCCTCCCCCGGCGCGCACGGCTCGTCCCCGTCCCTGGAGGCGGCCCGAGCCGCCCCTGAGCAGCCTCGCCTTCGCCTCCCGCGTTTCCTGCCGTCCGCCCTCCCCCGGCCGAGCTCCAGGGGCTGCCGCCTAGCAGCTCCCGGCGGGAGAGCGGTTCAGAGCGCGCACGGGGGCGGGCGGAGGCGGCCCGGTGCGGGGCGGCCGCGCTGGAGAGAGGCGCGCGCGGAGACGCCGGCCCCCCTCTCCGCGTTTGCTCGCTTGCTCCCCGCCTCCCGCACTCCGCTCGCTCCCACCCCTTCCCGGCGTGATTGATCCGTCACGGGCGCCGCCGCTGCCGCCGCCGCCGCCGCGGCCGTTCTGAGCCGAGCCGGAACCCTAGCCCGAGACGGAGCCGGGGCCCGGGCCGGCGCCATTGCGCGGGCGCCGCGGGAAGACCTTGGCGCGGGGCGGCGGGCCGGGCCAGGCCATGCGGGCCGAGTGAGCCGGCGCCCGCAGCCCGCGGCGCGGCATGGCTTCCCCGCGGAGCTCCGGGCAGCCCGGGCCGCCGCCGCCGCCGCCACCGCCGCCCGCGCGCCTGCTACTGCTACTGCTGCTGCCGCTGCTGCTGCCTCTGGCGCCCGGGGCCTGGGGCTGGGCGCGGGGCGCCCCCCGGCCGCCGCCCAGCAGCCCGCCGCTCTCCATCATGGGCCTCATGCCGCTCACCAAGGAGGTGGCCAAGGGCAGCATCGGGCGCGGTGTGCTCCCCGCCGTGGAACTGGCCATCGAGCAGATCCGCAACGAGTCACTCCTGCGCCCCTACTTCCTCGACCTGCGGCTCTATGACACGGAGGTGAGTGTCCGGCTGCCCCTGCCGTCGGGGCTTCGGGGGGCATTGGGGTGGGTGGTTTGGACACAGGCAACCTCCGGCCTTTGGTCAGATCCCCGATTGACCGGCCCGCGCCTGCCGAGGGCAGAGAGGGCTGGTGCCCAGTGTTCACCCCCGCGGTCCTGCTGGGCTTGGCTGGCACAGCTGGTAACATTTGCCAAGCACCCCCTCCTCTGGTCTTATGTGTGTATGTGTGTGTGGGGAGGGGTGGGGGTGGGATAGAAGACTGGGGTCTCTTTTGACCAGAGAAAAAGGAGTGGAGAAGGTGGGGGCTGGACCCCCAAAGGCCTACATTGATTGTCCCTGTCCAGGTCCCGCTCATGGGGCTGCGAGGTACCGAGTGGGAGGAACAGGCGCATTGACTGCAAACTGGGCCACCCAGGGCCGGAGGGGCCGCGGGCCTGCTCACAGGCCCCCAGGGAAGCCGAGCCGCGCTTTGAGGTCCGGAAGGCTCCGGAACCCAAGGGGCTTGAGCGTGCAGCGTGGCTGGGCGCCTGGTGCGCGCCAGCAGCTCTGAGCCCGCTCCGCGCGGGCAAGTGTGGGGCCACCGGCTCTGCAGCGCTTCTGCCTGGACGTGCCCGGCGCTGCCTGTGGCCAGAGCGATTTCAGGAGACCCCTGCCTCGGGTTAGTTGCTCAGAAAGTGCCCTGGCAGTTCTCGTCCCGGACGTGCAGTGGTGTCCGGCCGCGCCGCTGCTGTTGGCCGGGCGGCTGCAGGCAGTTTCTCACGGCTCAGGCTTGAAGCATCCGACCTAGCAGCCGGAGCACAGACTTGGAGAGCAGTCCGGAGCGGAGCCAGAGAGCCAAGGGCTTTCCATCCCAAGACCCCTCCCCACGCCCTCGGTTTGGGTTCTGCCTGAAGCCCCAGAGCGGACCTTCACCGCCAGGCCGGGGCTGGAGCGCGCGGAGCGGGTCTGGAGGAGCGATCGCTGGCCGCGCAAGGTCGGGTTTGCGAGTTTTTCCGGACCGAGCGAGCCCCTGTGCTCCGACCGCAGCGTCTGAGACGCGGCCTGAAGGGGGCAGTGATTTCCTGTGCAGTACGCTCGGTTGGCGCCTCTTCCATCGCGCGGAACGGGGCCGAGGCGCTGGGCTTGATCCTGGCTTCCTGGGACTCTCCGGGCGCTTCTGCTGGAGTCCAGGTGCAGAACCCTTTTGGGAGGAGGGTCGCGCTACTGCTCTGGTGGTGCAATCTGGGCTTCCCCTCCTCCTTGGTCGGACCCTCTTTATGTCCCCAGAGAAAGAGCAGAATCTAGATTGTATCTTATTCCCTGCCTCCCCCGCTTCACCGGTGAACCAGCTTGCTCTGCGCTGTAAATAAAAGGTGAAGGAACCGGTGGCAGTTGGCAGCGGTACGCGCAGGCTGCTGCAGGCGGAGAGGCGTCCTCTGCCCCAGAGGATGCAAGCTGGCTGGCTGTGCAGGGCTAACCCGGTGTGAAATCATTTCCGAATGACATTCCTATCGCCCTCGTCTTTGCCTGAGCATCTCAAGTTCTGTGGGGGTACTTGTCTGGCACACATAAATGGAGACAGCAATGCAGTTACACGGAGGCATATCTTCTTGACAGTTTCTCTGTTGCTACTGCACATATTCTTCTGGAGGGGTCACTGCAAAGCCGGTCTTTTGGGGACAAACACATTTTTAGATAGGGCAGCCCTGCTTGCATCATCACCAAGTATTGTCAGCTGCATAATGTTTTCATCATCAGTTTCTTCCCTTTAGAAAGCTTCCCTGAAAGAGATTTCATACTGGCCTGTTTGTGGCAGCAAAGAGATGGGTGCTTCGTTTCAGGGTGTGGGTTGAAGCCTTTACATTTTATTTTTCGAGTGTGTCTTGATGACTTTCTGAGTGAAAGGACCCAAAGTCAAGAGGATGAGACAGTCAGAAGACTCTTCAATTCGTGGGAATATTTAGAAAACAGTGGGAAGGAAGACAGAAGATAATTTTAGCTTCGTGCAAACAGAGAAGTGTCTCTAGCCTTTTGAAGGGGCCCAGAGCCAGGGCTTTGGGGTAGGTGGGGCCTGGGTTTTAGTGAGAAACTGGTTACTTTCCACCCTGGATGACCTTGAGCTGGGTATTTAATCTCTCTAAGCCTAGGTGGGAATATTATGTGTACTCTGCAGGTGACACACAGCTTAAGGAAGATAACAGGCCAGGGTAGAAGATGCCCTGAGCTGGCAGGCTCAGCGGCCAGTGCTCTGGCATGCTGTAAGCACTAAATAAATGTGTCCTGCTGCCTCCCCTCCTCCTCCTCCTTCTTTTTTTTTTTTTTTTTGTTTTTTTTGTTTTGTTTTGTTTTTGTTTTTTTGAGATAGAGTTTTGCTCTTGTTGCCCAGGCTGGAGTGCATTGGCGTGATCTTGGCTCACCGCAACCTCCACCTCCCAGGGTCAAGTGATTCTCCTGCCTCAGCCTCCCGTGTAGCTGGGATTACAGGCATGTGCCACCATGCCCAGCTAATTTTGTATTTTTAGTAGAGATGGGGTTTCTCCATGTTGGTCGGGCTGGTCTTGAACTCCCGACCTCAGGTGATCTGCCCACCTCTGCCTCCCAAAGTGCTGGGATTACAGGCATGAGCCACCGTGCCCAGCTCCCTTCCTTCATTTTTATTTCCTGTGAATTCACAAGTGGCCTTATCTTTAAAGTAGAGGTGCTTTCTCCCTGAGCCAGAGTGAAGGAAGGATCAGTCTAGGTAATTTGCAGCAAAATCTAGAGCGATCTAAAGAATGTTTGTGGCTAGTGTTAGAGTGTTTAGGGTCTAGTTTATTCAGATTGGCTGTCTTTGTGGACACTGCCTAATTATTTGCAGGCTGTGTCACATTGTTTGTAGACTTTAACACAGGGTGGATGTGGTGAACAGATTTTGGCTGGATTTGCTGACATTTGCTGTCAATCAGTGGCCTCAATGGCCAGTGACTATGGGCACCAGTATGGACCTTTATCCATATGATCTGCAGAGAGATGGAGATTTAGCAAGGAATGGGTTAATCTGGTCCCTGGGGACAATCTGTCTCAATAAAGGAGCCTCCTACAACCAGATTGACTCTCTTCTGTAAGTAGAATAGTGGTAGATTTTCAAAACCTCACTCAATGCCATGTGTTGGTAAAAATGAAACAGCCTAACAGAATACCTGTCTATCAGAACCTCTGCTTCTCTGGTGTAACACCAAATGGCTTCAGCAAATACTCGTTTATATATTCCAATGAGGATTTGAACAAGCAAGACAACTGAAAATACAGATAAAAGAAAGCATCAGAAACTATGTAGAAGCATAGAAGTTACTATACCAAGAACCTGGGCTAAAATTTATTGCATTGAGTATTATATTTTAGCTCTGAGCTTCCTGGCAGTCAAGGTAAAAAGGTAAATGTACCATATTACTTAATGTTTGATCTAAAAAATCTGAGAGACAATGACTTTTTTTTTTTTTTTTGAAAGAGTTGGGGGTCTCATTCTCTTGCTCAAGCCAGACTGCAGTGGTACATCATAGCTCACTGCAGCCTTGAACTCCTGGGCTCAAGTGATCTTCCTGTCTTCAGAAATGTTCTCCATGTGATTGTTTCTTATTCTAGCCACACTAATAAAATAAAATAATAGCCAAGGAATGAGTTAAAGATATTTTTTTTCAATTTGATTAATGTTCATTGTGGAAAAGCTGAAAATTACAGAGAAGCATAAAGAAAAATAATTGCCCATAATCCATCTACACAAAAATAATAACATCTAATAATTAGCATCATTCCCTTCCAGTTGTCATTTTTTACTATTTTATGTACTTGAGATCATACTCCATGTGCTCTTTTATGTTTTTTTCCTTCAGTTAACATTGTATCATGGGTTTTTCCCCATGTCCTCAAATCCTCCTTGTAAAGATGATTTTTGGTGGCTGTATACTATTCTATCCTGTGGGTGAACCATACGTATTTAATCATTCCCCTATTGTTGGACCTATATGTTTTCTCATGTGTTACTATCTTAAATCATTCAATAATAAACTTAGAGAAAGTTCAGGGAGCCAAGGAGCCCAGTCTAGGGGTACAACTGTCAGAAAGACCACCCTGATGCCAAGATCCAATGTAGAAATCCCAGTGATTGTTGAGCATGTCTTTTTTCTTGAGTGGCTTTGCCAAATATCTTTTCCCTTATTCACTATGCTTTAAAAAGGATTTAAAGGACTGTTGAATTGAGGCTGTGCTTCCTAAAAAGGTCTGAGTACAGCTCAGCAGGTGTTTACTGAGCACCTACTGGAGCTGTTGATGCTGCAGAAAGGTGTAAAACATAGCCCCGGGTTTGAGAGAGGCAGCTGGTGAACAGAGAACAGGGCAAGAACGTATTCATCATTTCTAATGCAAGGTAGAGAATGATAGTGGAGATGGTTGCATAATTCTGTGAATGTACTAAAAACCATGGAATTATACACTTTATATATATATATATAAATCACTCTTTTAAAGTGTATAAGTTAATTAAATCTCAGTACAGATTTAACTGTATTAAATCTCAATACAGTTAACTAAATCTCAATACAATAAAATATAAATTTTTAATTTTATTAAAAAATAAATTTATTTTTATTTAAAAATAAAAAGATAGACTGAGTGTGGTGGCTCATGCCTGTAATCTCAGCATTTTGGGGGTGCTGAGGTGAGAGGATTGCTTGAGGCCAAGGAGTTCAAGACCAGCCTGAGCAACATAGGGAGACCCTGTCTCTACATAAAATAAAAAATTAGCCTGACATGGTGGTATGTGCCTGTGGTCCCAGCCACTAGGGAGGTTGAGGCAGGAGGATTGCTAGAGCCTAGGAGGTAAAGGCTACAGTAAGCTGTGATTGTGCTGCTGCACTCTAGCCTGGGCAACAGAGCAAGACTCTGTCTCAAAAATAAAACGAAATAAAATTTAAAAATTTTAAAAAGAACGTGAGCTCTTTCAGGTTCAGGTTTACATCTTCTTTGCAGCTGCACCCCCACTGCCCAGCATGCTGCCTGGCCCTTAGTAAGTGTGTTGTTTAGTACTCTTGATGCAAATGACAGAAAGCCAACTTTAACAGGTTCATATAACTGAAAAAACCTAAGGTGTGCTGTATGCAGGCATGGTCAAATCCAGGGGCTCAAATGATATCTTTAAAAATATCTTCCTCTCTGCCTCTTGGCTTTGATTTCTTCTGTGTTGGCTTCACTCTCAGGCAGGCTCTCCCCATGTGGTGGCACAGATGGCCTCTAGAAGCTGCAGGTTTACACACTTCCAGTTTAGAAACTCCAGTAAGAAGAGTGTTTCTTTCCCAACTGTTTCAGCGAAAGTCTCAAGTTTATATCTCATTGGCTTGAATTGGGTCATGTGTTTATCCACGAACAAGTCACATGACCCTGATGGGACAGGCCTAGAACTTCTGCCCTCCTTTCATGATGAGAGAGGGAGGTGAGGTCAGCTTCACCCAACCACCTGAACACAGAGTTGGGGAGAGGTGATTCCTCCAAGGAAATCAGAGGCCATTAAGGGTTGGTATGCCAGTGGGTCTGATCACAAATAGCCACAAAGGCAGGCAGTTGAGGAGTGCTAAATTGAAGAAAGAAACAATAGAAGCCAGGGGCATTAAGAGAAAGGGAAGATCATATAGGACCAGAGAGACCTCCTGGAGAAGATAAGCCTGGAAGAGTGAATATAAAGTTGACAGAGAGAGGCAGAGGCTCTGGGAAATGGACATTGGATACCAGGAAGGGTCTCCAGATCAAAGATGAAGCAAAAAAGTGTGCAGTGTGTTTGGAAATGCAGGGTTTGTAGAGGGAAAAGGTAGCTGGTGCTGGGCGTGGACGGCCTTGAATGCTGTGTCCGGAAGGTGGGACTTTAATCTGGAGCTGCAAGGAGCCGTGCGATGTCTTTGAACATGGGTGTGATCCTATCAAGGCTGGTGAGCATGTAGAGGCTGGACTGGAGACAGAATGAGCCTGGAGTCGGAGGGGCTGGGAAGCTACTTTAACAGTTGAAGGGAGCGGTGATGGGGCCTGAATGGAGACAGGGAGGCAGGAGAGGGTGTTGTGAAGAACGGGCAGCACTGAGACCCGACAGGGCAGGAGGGGCAACAGAGAGGGAACCAATGTCTGGGGAGGGGGTGTGTCATTGGCAGAACAGTCACTGGAATTAGATGCACCCTAGGGGGACAAGGAGAGAGGGTCCCTGCAGGGGTGAGGCCACGTGCTCACCTCACACCTGTCCAATAAGCCCTGGCCCTAGGGTCAGGAGACCTGGGTTTGTATCCTCATTTGGGCACCACTCACCTGCTTGGTGACCTTGGGGAGGTCTGTTTGCCTCGGTTTCTTCATCGATGAAATGGGGCTGATACACTAACTGCCTTATCAGGTGCATAAGGGACAAATGAGATGATCCAGGTGACATAATCCAATCAATGATCGGCACACTGCGAGTGCTCAGGAAATATCGCTGCTCTGTTGTTCCCATTGTTATTATTTCCGTACAATCTGGGGATCATTGTGCTGACCTCACAGGGCTGTTATAAGGAATAAGTCTAATGGGTGGGGCAGCTCAAAGCCTAAAGTAAATACAAAGCAGTGTGACGGGTCCCTTGTTTTCTGGTGCTGTGTTGCAGAGAAGGCCTGCTGGCAGAAGAGGGTGCAGACACTGTGGCCTTTATTCATGTGTGTCTCCCGGCGTGTCTTTCCTTCTGCCGGTATCATAGTTGTTTGTCACTTTCTCCCCTGCTGGCTGGCAGCTCTTGAGGGTAGGGTCAGTCTCATCCCTCAGGGCCTTATGGAGCTTAATGAGCAGCCTGCATGAGTAAATGGTGAGGAGCTGAACTGGAGGTGCATCGATTCGAGTCTGCTTTCTGAGTTAGCACCCTCTGGGATGGTTGGTCTTGTCCCTTCCCCAGGGTCTTCCTCCCTCATTTAAGGACTGAGGTGGCACTACATATCAGGGCTAAGCAAACTGCTGAGCTGTAGCTGCCCTCTGCATGTGCCTACCAGCACCAAACCCCGAGCTCCCCAATATGAGGGCAATATGAGCGCCCCAGAAATTCCTCACACCTAGCCAGGCACCCACGGACATAACTTCTCTGTCCCCAAATTCCTTTTTAAAGACTGAGTTGGGGTGGTGGGTGGAACTAATACACTAAGGGCCTGTTTAATGTTTGATATTGGGCTAAGAATGTTAGCATACTCACTTTATCTTTAAAGGGACCTTCTTTGTGTATTTGACTTTCCTTCCCTGTGGGCAGAGTAACATCAACTTCTTCATACAGAGGTCTGAGATGTCAGCAGGGAAATTAGCAAGCTGGAAGCACAAGATAACGATCCAACAGGGGTACTAAATGGATAGTATCTAGGATATATGTCTTTTGTTAGTTAGGGTGGGTGAGGCTATGCTGCACTAACAAACAAATCCTGAAATCTCAATTGCTTAACACAGTAAGATTATTTATTGCCCACACAAAGTCCAGTGTGTCAGAGGTCGTCCTGGGTGGCTCTCCTCCAGGTGGTAACGCGAGGAGCCAGGCCACTTTTGTATTGTGAGTCTCCCATCTTAAGGCTTCAGGAAGATGGGGATAGGGAAGAATCCAGAGGGAAGGCACACTGGACTTTTAACCACCTTCACTTGCAAGTGACACATATTATTTCTACCCATATTCCACTGGCCAGAAATAGTCAATGGCCAGCCTAACTACAGAGGAGGCTGGGAAACATAAGGAGCATATGGATGCCATGGACACTTGTCAATTGGGGTCCTTCAGGAAGGAGATGCCAAGATAGACTTGTAAGCATAAGAGATCTTGGAAGCCATCCCTGTGAAAGATAAAAGAATAGGTAGGGAAATGCTCTGTCCATGATGCTGTTCTGACACCTGTGGAAGGAGACGGGGAAGGAAGGAGAGTCGGGTAGGAAGAGCTCCAGAGCCAAGATTATCCATTACATGAGTTTCCTATCAGACCCAATGAGCCAGGCTCTAGAATCCCCACCCAACTCAGTGATTGGCTGAGGTCTGCCTTGGGAGATTTTGCTCTTAGCTTGAAGGCTGTGGCAGGTCTTAAAGGTGTTGCAGCTGATGACCATTAGCTGATTGCATCTCCTCCTGTAGGTTCTCTCTTTAAAGGAGGGTGGGGCCTACTTGGTTGGCTGCCACAGACACTGCCTGTTTCTTCTACAATGCCCTACTACTTACTACACCTGGCCCTATTCTAGGCTCTGGGATACAGAGCTGGATGAAACACAGATCCTGCCCTTGAGGAGCTCACTGTCCAACAGGTGATCAAGATAGACAAAAACAATTACACGTGGTATAGCCCAGCCACAGGAGGGGTTAGCAGAGGATGTGGGGGAAGGGAAGGCATTCCCCTTCTCCAGGCACCTGGTTGGTCATCCTCCATGTTGTTTGGGAGTAAAATGTAAGTGACTTCTTATCTCTAACTTTTTTGTTACTTATTTTGGTTTTAGGAAGGTGAGGAAATTAAATGGCATAGTTTGCCCAGTAAGCAGCTGCATTCTATTACTTTCTTTTCTTCTTCTTCTCTAGCGTTATGTAACAGTGCACAGTGAGGCTGGTGAAATGCCTTCCTGTCTGTACCTGGCTTTCTAGGGATGCACAGAGGAGCCAGGCTGAAACCGTGAGTGTATGAGCCCCAGATAGGGTCAGCATCTGGGTTTGGTGCTGGGTTAGTTGCTGAGACCACAGGGAAGTCTTTGCTGTTCTCTGTGAATTGCAGCACTAATCGAGGATCCCCACTCCACTGTTAGCACCAAAAGGGCAGGCACTGGGTGTGTCTGGCTCCTCTGTGGTCCCCCTAGGCACTATCTCAGGGCCAGGCACAGAGCAGGAGCTCAATAAATATTTATCGAACAAATAGATCTAAAAGCCTGGATTCCAGCTCTCCAGTTCTAAGAGGATTAATGGGCAGAGTTTTAACAAATGGAGTAAGTGCTTTGTATGCCAAGCCATGTGAGGGTGAGCTTTCTGCTTGCTCTTTATTCATTCTTTCGGGTTCTTATTATTTAGTGCTTTTGGGGGCTCTGTAGTTGTGGTGTAAAAGGGGAAAGGGTGCTTGGGTGTTCCAATAGAAGATTTGGTGCAAAGCTGATGTCATTTTCTTCGTCTCTGACAAATATATGCACCATCCTCCAAGGTACATCAAAACCTAGGAAATAAATACTTTCCGGCTTCTGAGAAGCATTATGGTTTTAGGAGGTCAGTTTATTGGAGCAATACGCTAACCAGTGGACGGAGGACTTAGGAAACATGTTCTGATATCTCACTCTCGCCTCCAGAGAGCACGAGAGCCAAAGGAGGCTAGATTGGGCTCTGGTCCTGGCAGAAATTGTGGGAATGAAGCCAGTTCATCAGCCTTGGTGAGTCAGGTGGTCCAGTGCAGATCTGGGCATAGTGAGAAAATATGTTCCCTGGAATCCCCTAATAGCAAGGCTTCTTCCAGGCTCCCTGCTCCTGGGTCAGAAGCTTCTGCTCTTTATTCTTCTATGGCCAGGACTAACTCAGGAACTGGGTATGCTCAGCTTGAAAGGGACCGTCTCCCTGATGGTGACAGAATAGGTCTGGACCCCAAACTAGATAACCAAGATTGTGAGTAAAGGCTGGGTGCAGTGGCTCATGCCTGTAATCCCAGCACTTTGGGAGGCCGAAGCGGGTGGATCACGAGGTCAGGAGTTCGAGACCAGCCTGACCAACATGGTGAAACCCCGTCTCTACTAAAAATACAAAAATTAGCTGGGTGTGGTGGCACGCACCTGTAATCCCAGCTACTCAGGAGGCTGAGGCAGGAAAATCGCTTGAACCTGGGAGGTGGAGGTTGCAGTGAGCTGAGATCACACCACTGCTCTCCAGCCTGGGTGACAGAATGAGACTCCATCTCAAAAAAAAAAAAAAGAATTGTGCATAAAGTAAGAGTACATTGGTTATGAGCTGGAGTTTAAGAGTCTGAAAATTCTTGCCTGTGTGAATGAATATTGAACACTTTTTTGGGCTGATGGGGGCATTCTTTTGCCGATTTTCTACCTTTCTGATTTTTTTAGAGTAGTCTGCATTGCTGGAAGGATGAAGTGTCATTGTCATCTAGAAAATTAGTGGTAGATCCAAAGTATTGAGTGCGTGGACTCATCTGTCTTCATCAATGCCCGTGTTCCACAGCTGCTGGCGGAAGCAGACCCCCTTCTCCTGCCATTTGGCAAGGACATCATCAGTCACTGTTCAGATAAAATCTAGCCAAAGAAGGACTTTGTGGAGTGATGCATTATTGCTGCTCTCATGGTACAGGGTCAGGAGGTGGCACAGAGAAAAATGATATTTTTCACACTCTTCTTATGATCCACTTGACTTTGTTCAGAGAAAACTGATTTTGAAAGCAACAGCCATACTTATAATAATCATCACTGTATTATCCAAATCGTCTTGTTTCTAGAACTACCATTCACTGAAGCCTTTCTGAAAAATGCCCAGAGTTGTTTCAGGGATGTAAGTGGCAGATGGGGACCCGCATGCCCACTCTGGGGCAGATGACCAGAGCCCATGCGAATGCCCCCGCCCAGTCCAGCTGAGAGTGCCTTGGCTTTGATGGAAGGGAGAGTTGGCTTGGTTGTCACTCCACAAAGCATCCTCTGGAGCCCAAGTAACCCTTCAGAGGTCCTTCCTGGACTCTGGGAATTCTAGAAACTTTGGGAAGCCCTTGGAGAGCTTCTAAATGTCATGGTCATAATCAAAGGAAAAGGAAATAGGAACATTTAGTTGCAGGTGGGTAGATGAAGAAAAAGAAACTAGAACAACAGTAGCTCACCTTTATCCAGTGCTTACTATATGTCGGCACCTATGTCAGTGCTTTGCAGCATTCATTCATTTCGTCTTCACTACAGTCCTATGAAGTCCTTACTCTTTTTTTTTTTTTTGAGACGGAGTGTCGCTCTGTCGCCCAGGCTGGAGTGCAGTGGCGCCATCTCCGCTCACTGCAAACTCCGCCTCCCGTGTTCACGCCATTCTCCTGCCTCCGCCTTCCGAGTAGCTGGGACTACAGGCGCCCGCCACCACGCCCGGCTAATTTTTTGTAGTTTTAGTAGAGACGAGGTTTCACCGTGTTAGCCAGGATGGTCTCCATCTCCTGACCTCGTGATCTGCTTGCCTCGGCCTCCCAAAGTGCTAGGATTACAGGCGTAAGCCACCGCGCCCGGCGGTCCTTGCTCTTATTGTCTGCATTTTACAGATGAGGCTTAGAGAGCTTATGTGACGTATTTAACATCACAACCAACCAAGTGTCGAGCTGGGATTTGAAGTCTGGATGGTCTGACTTTGATCTCTGCAGCTTACGCTCTGAGTAAACCACCATCTTCATATAGTTATTTTCCTCCCATAAAAGCAAGCGGCAAGTTTTTTTTCTCCGATAAAAACAAGCGGCAATGCTTTTTTTGCTTGCAAATTTCACCCCCAACTGCTTGCCTCTCCCTCGGATTCAACCCCACCCTCTCCCATTTCTCTGTCCACCCACTCAGTCATATACAGCCAACCCTGCACTTTCTACTCACTTTAAATGTCTGTCCACACACCTGACTCACACAGATCTGCTCTCTATCCCCTGGCACCTGGAGAACTTGTCGCTTGCAGAACTTGTCACCTTCGGTTGTGTTTACTCAGGATGGCAGTGTTTATGTCTGAGTGTGTCTCCTGATAGACTCGGATCATCTCAAGGGTAATAGTGGTGCTTCCTTTATGAATTTAGGCTATACTTGCTAAGCACCTACTTGGTGCCAGGCTCTGGGTTTGTTACACAGTGTAGGGAGATAACTCCAAAATAGCTGTGCTTTCAAAGGCACGTGGGGGAGGAGGCCCAGGGATCGTTACCATGCAGCATGAGGAGTGTGATGGTGTGGATGGGCACCCCCAGGTACAGAAGACAATTAAGACCACTGACCCAGCAAACCAGTCCAGCGGCCTCCCAGCTTGATACCCTGCAGGGACTCACCATTGTTCTTGGGGTGGGAACACAGCTTCTCCCACAGCTTTGCAAGCCCTCTGGAGTCTGCCCTGCCCACTCCCAGCATTGCTGCTGAGCACTCTCCCTCTCTTCTTCAGGCCCAGCCACATGGTCCTCTCTGTGTCTTGGATGAGTGTGCTCCTCCCTGCACAGGGCCTTTGCACAAGCTGTTACTGTGGCCTGGAATGTTCTTGCCACCTTTCTTCATCTTTTAAATCCTAGATCAAGTGTGCATTCTCTGTCCTCCCCGATTAGGCAAAATCCACTATCACGTTTTCTCTAAGAACCATGAACTTTCCTTTCTACTGCTTATCACAGCCGCAAGTTAACTTTTGTTGGATTATTTGATCCCTATTGGTCTCCCTCCTGCTTCACAAGGGGACTGTGAACTCCATGAGTGCAAGAACTGGTTTGTTTTGGCTCACCATAATGTCCAGCACACTTTCTAGCACATAGTAGGTGCTCAGTAACTATTTGGAGACTGAGTGAAGGCTGGAGGATTCTGAGGCCAATCTTGATGTTTATAAATGGCATGCTAGTTTGTTTTTCAGTGCCTGTGGGGTGTGGGGGAGACAGCTGGACACTGTAGAAAGACACTGGGCATCGGTCAACCTGTGTGTGCATGCTGACACTGCCTGTCCCCTGAGCCCCAGAGTCCTTGTCCGTGAGATGGGGATGATACTCTGTGAGAGAGTTATTTTGAGGGTTGACCTGGAACATTCATGTAAAGCATTGAGCACAGGGATCCACACTGACTAGATTTTATACTAAGTTTTACTGTTATCATTTTATTATAATGCATATGAAAATGTGAAATGCTGTGTAGCAGCATAAAAACTCGTTCTTATTTCAGTGGGGGACTGTGTGTTTGAGGCCAATGAAGAAGTTGTGATCTGTGTCTGAGCTTCACTGAATGGGATTTTTAAGTTAAGGGGTGTTTTTAAGCCCCATCCATTTCTGGAAGGATTTGAGGTGCGCTGAGAGCTCAGTGGTGAACCATCCACTGGCCCTTGGGGCTGGTGTCTCCAGTGAAGTCTTTATAACTCTGCTTTATAATCACTACTGGTTATTGTTCACTGCCCCGCCAGGCTATGAGCTGGGCCAGTCCATGAGGACAGGCACAGCATCTGTTTGGTGTCTGCCATGCCCCAAAGCCCAGGACAGAGCCTGCAGGTACTCCAGAATATTTGTGAGTGAATGAAGGTCTCTGTGTCTGGAGCACCCAGCACAGCCCCTGGTGCCTTGCAAATGTGTTTCGCATGAGTGATGCTAAACACAAGGTAAAACAGAACAATTTTGGATAAAAATCAGAACTGGGCCCCTAAGTGGAACAGAGAAGATGTTATCAGGCATCTGTGAGGAATGGATTGTTCCAGTTGAACACTGGATTTGAAGGCAAGAGAGAGATGCTCTGATGTTCCTGTGTGATGAGGACACATTTCCTTTTAGGCTCCAGAGACAAATCTTTTAGGTTAGAGGCAGGGCAGTTCAGTGGAAAGAGCTCTGGATTCTACATGGGTGACCCAATGCTGATGCTCTCTAATGGATGACCTTGAGCTAGTCATTTAACTTCTCTGCACCTTAGTTTTATCACCTATAAAATGAGAATAGTAATGTCTGCTCTGCTTTTTCATAGAGTTATTATAGAGATCGGAGAAAGAGAGAGAGGAAGGGAGAGAAATAAGATTAATGTGAAAGGGCTTTAAGAAGCTGTAAAGTGGTGCAGATATAAAATACGCCCGAAACTAAACACAAAGAGTAATTAATTCTGGGCCATTCTCTCAGGACCATTGGATATTTCCAATAACATCTTTATAGAAGACATAGCGATGTCATTCATGTGAGTGATCATTTAACCCCCTAATAAAGGAGGACACAGTATTAGATTATAACACTCTGAAAGCAGTTCTTCAGGGAACTGAGGTTCTGTGACCCTAGCAGGCTGTCTTACCGAAGAATCTAGAACAAGAGGTAGTTAACGTGTTTCCTCTCAACTGTCAAATGTCTTCAAAAACCAATCATCTGTCTTTGGCAGGTGTCAGGCCCAAGGCCATCCACTGCCAGGCTATTGATCAGGGGTCTCAGGGCAGAAACTTGGGAGCATGAAAGTTAGTGAGGGCTGTCTTCTGTAAGCATCAATTTGGGATCCTGGCCATCAGCGGGGCCTAGACCTCAAATCATGGGGGGTTGCTAGTTGGGTGGCTGGGGGAGAGCCTAGCCCACCAGCTTAAAATATGAAATACCCAGACTGGGCCAGTCCACTGCAGCCCAGGAGTGGGCGGCTGGAATGCCTGTGTGCTGGGCGTTTTCATTTTCTCCAGAAAGAGCTTTGACTTCTCCAAGGAGATATACAAGTATTTGGTGGAGATCTCAGGGTTCTGGGCCAGGCAGTGTGGAAATGATGAATCTGGCTTGAGAGTTTGGGGGCAACAGTTGCTAGCTGGCTACCTCCTCCTCAAAAGGAGAGCAGCCAGGCTCCTTTGGACACTGGGTTTTTAACCATCAGATGGGCTTTGACCTGGCTGCTCAGAATTCTCTGCATGCTGTGGCCTGGAAGGCCCTAATTCCAACCTTGTGTCCACAATGGAGAAAACAAAATGACAGGGACAGGTCCTTATTGAATCCCTACTATGTGCTGGGCACTGCATGGCTGCTTTCATATGTGCACCTGGATAGTGGCAAGGTGTAGTAGAAAGAGCTTAAAACTTGTGAGATGGAGAGGCCCAGGGTCAGCTCTGAGCTCTGGTCTGGCTCCGTATTCAGATGACATTCTAAAGCCCCTCCCCTTAGGAAGCTTTCAAGTCATTGAGGATCAATGGCCATGTTGTCTAAAGAACAGTGGGTCCTCTGGGAGGGAAAGGAATGAGAGTGACTCCCAGCCTCTGGGGTTGAAACTGTTAGGATGTAGTGGGGCCTGCTGGCAGGAAAGGCAAAATGATCTGCAAGGGAGACCTTGCTTTGAGTGGGGGCCAGAGCATGGGCTGCTGAGGGCAAGGCTAGTTTAGAGATATAGCTGATACTGGAGCCCCCTGCTACCACCTGAGGACATGGAGGGGCCCGGGAATGGCATCTGTGTAGATCAGTGCACATGGAAACTGCTCAATGCCCGGGACTGAAACCCTCACTTTCTGTTTTGGCCCTGAGTGGGTGGCCCTGGAGAATGGGGGCCTCTGTCCCAAGATTGACCTCATCAGGGGGCAGGACCTCATCCTGGTTTCAGAGGAGACCTCAGGCTTCTGATGAGGCCATGGTAGCAAGGCAGAGCTGAAGGGAGCTGAGGGTGGCAGCTAAGCCTGGCTTAGAGGCTGGGATTGAGGAACCTCGAGGTGTCCGGGTGAGGAACACTCGCTGATCTATCAACATAGGCCACGCCGGGGGTCGAGGGAGAACTGGGCCAAGTATTGCCAAGAGAAAGCCCAGACTGCCCTACCCCCATCTCTTCTTTGAGCATTCCAAGGAATATGTCATTTGTATCGACCCGGTTAAGTCTGAAGGGCAGTTGGTGTCTCATTTAGTTCTTATAAAATGGTTCCTCTGTTACCAGGGTGTTACTGAATGAGGCATTTGGAAGAAATAGTCAACTCTAGCACTGCACAGCATTTGTAATTCTCATTGTTTAGTTGTTGGTATTATTTTAACAACTAAACAACTAAAGAAGAATTCTTGCCCTTAGTCCCATTCATACCTGGAGAAACTGTGGATCTGCATGGTGAGCTGGGGTGTGAGGCAGCGAGTCTAAGTTGGCCCGACTCTGAGCCCAGTGCCCTTGGCACCACCCACAGCGGCCAGGCATGCTACAGTCCAGCCAGATGGGGTCTGTGGTCCTGCTGTTTGGGGTCCCAGGATCCAGCCAGACTCCCGGGAGTCACCTATCATGGCTGTTCCCGAAGGCCCTTAGGCCAAGCCCCGGAGAGAGTAGAAGGTTATAGATGGTGAGCTGTATGTGTAGACACTGTTGGCTTCATGGACGAGAATGCACTTTCTATTTCATCCTCCTAAGCACTTCAAGAAAGACTAAAGGTGGCCCAGGGAGGCGCTCAGAGTGGCTGGATGTTGGGTGGACTAATATCCATACTGCTGGCCACCACAGCTTGCCACACAGGGGAGGTGACCTCATGCTGGACACTGAGTTCCATTCAGGAGCAAGCTTGGAGCACCTGCCTCCTGCCACGCCCTGGGCCATCCAAACTTGACTCGGGTGTGACCTCTGCCCTTAGGGAGCTCACAGGACAATGTAGGCCACTCACATGCAAGCAAGTGACCCTGGTAAGAGCACTTACTAGCTGTGTTAGTTTTGGGCAAGCCACTTTATCTCCCTGTGCCTCAGTGTTCTTCTCTGTACAATGGGGTGATAATAATAGTACCTGCTTCACAGGACGGCTACCAAAACTGATAGTTATCAGTGACTGCTGAAGACTTCAGCCACTGCCTGATACATAGTAAGTGTCATAATAGTGTCAAATACAAAAATGCTGTGAGGGAGATTTGAAGATCCTCTTAGCAGAGGCTCCAGTAAGAACTCCAGCAGCACAAAGAGGAGGTGGTGAATTGAATTCTCACAGGGTGGAACCTGGAAGGGCCTTTCACTGCAAGCAACCTTTGAGCTGGCCTTGAAGGACAGGAGGTAGAAGATGTGGGAAGTACCCTGTGGGAGGAGGGAATTGTGCAAGCAAAGCTTGGAAGGTAGGACTTTGAGGGGATAATGCTGAGCCATTCAGATGTGGCCAGCACATAGGTGACTGACCGCAAGAGACACTGTGGACAGAGAGCTGAACGGCCTGGGAAACAGTCACCTTTGGGCCCGCAGTGTCTGAAAGCACATTTCTTAATCAATCAGTGCTCACCAAGGGCCTCCGCAAAGTCCTGGCTTCTAGCCTTGCTGTCGGCAAAGAGTTTCCTATTGGCCAAGGCTGGAGAACACAACCCCCCAGTCAACGGAGAGCTGGGCAAGGTCACCTCCAGGGACATTGCAAAGACTAGGACACAGGGCAAGAAAGGTGGATTAGGCTGACTTGGAGTTAAACCCTGGCTTTGTCACTTCCTAGGGGTGACAAGCCCTGTAACTCATCGAGCCTGTCATTCCCCCTGTGCAACAGGGAGATGAGTTTACCTGCCTTGCAGGGTTTGTCCGTGAGGCTAGGATGAGAGTATGTATTCTCAAACACCCCAGCTGGAGCTAGGCACTCCACGGATGCCTGATAACACTGAATGGGAATGGGACCCATCCTTGTTTGACATCACTTAGATTTGGGAGTGAGTCTGCCCTCAGATCATTCTAATTTTAACAATCAAAAAATGACTCAGGGTCTTGAAGAGGGCCCAGGAGGGATTTTAAAGCTTACTCTAAGTTGAGTCTGTAGGTGGACATAATAGATGCAATCAACTTTATGTTTCTCTTAATGGCTTTCTTGATGAAGGGAAGCAGTGAGTAGCAGTGATCTGTGCTGATATAACTGTTGTGGAACTCAGCAGTGAGAGGCCAGGTTGGCAGGCCTGGCTGTGCAGTCACAGGGCAGAAGGCTGGTGCTGACTTCCCCAGGCTGTCCCTCTGGCTGATGGGCAGCCAGTCTGGCTGCAGAGGAAGTTGCCCTTTTGATGCAGGTGCACACACAGTTGGTCCCTAGGACCTGTCTCTCTCAGAGTGTGGCAGGGTATCTGGTCTGGGTTGGGTTTCTCCTTTATTCCCTGATGGGCTAAGTCCTGGGTTTGGACAGCAGCACTCCGGGGGCCACTGTCATTCTGGATTCTAGGGATTAATCAGCCCCTCTTGAGAGGATCATGGTCTTGGTTCCCAGCTGAGATGCAGAATGGCTTTCCTTCTGAGACCTGCCAGGTTCCAGCCCCTTGCTACCTGCCAAACATGACTTCTTCTTTGGGCAGAGAAGGGCGGGCTATTCCTTCTCTACACATTTGGATGAAAGAGATTCTGAACAGAGCAATACAGTGGTTTTCTCACAATCACTGATAAAGAAGCTGATGTATAAAGATGAAATTGGATTTATACCAAAAATAAATCAGTTTTAGGTGTTTAGCAAAAGAGAGCTGTAATGGCTTTGGGGGAGCCCTGGGGAAAGGAAGGATGTGTTCAGAATACGGGGTTGGATCTTGGAAGGCTTGGTCCTGGTTCCTGAAATTTGGGTTCTCTGAGACTCAGTTTCTTCACCTGTAAAATGGGGAAAGGCACCTGCTCCAACCTCTCTCAGGGTGATTTTATGCTTAAATTAGATAATGACACTGGAAAGTCCTTGACCAAAGTTAAGAAAGGCATATCTGGGATTGCTGAGTGTTTCCATGAGAGCCCTGCTGTGATAGGTGTCTGAACGTGTGAAGGAGGAAATCATGGAAGCTGCAGAAGAAGCAGTGTTGCAACGATAATGGGGACTAAAGTAGGTCTCATTTCAGTTTTAGGAGGAAATAGGGCAGTAGATGGAAAGATTGAGCTATCTATTTTTGTTTTTAAGTCACTTTGCAGGGAAGAAATTGGGCAGTTGGACTCTTTCATTCTCTATAGTCAGAAGTCAGAAGTCAGAATGTCAGAGTAGATTTAAGGCCCACATGAAAAAACAGATAAATATATCCTGAAAAGAGTTTCTTGTGTGGTTTGGATGTGTATAAGAAACCAATTTAAAAGCGTTCAGATCTTTGTATGGTATATGTAATGATAACTGACATAATAGCGTTAGGAAGAACATAACCGTGCCATAAACCCTGTCATTTTGACTCTTTTGAAGAAAAGCTGGTCAGAGACGTCGGGGATAGAGGACGATCCTGGCTTTTTTACTTGCTGCAAAAGCTGCTTTCTGCAGTCCAGCTCCTCTTGTTTGGAGCTGTACAAGATCCTTCAGAAACCTGGAATGTGGGAATCCTGGGTTATTGTCTACATGCACTAGGCACAGGCATGAGCTTGTCTAAGTGAAAATGCAGTATATCCTACTATTAGCACCGCCAGCATTGTCAAAGCAAACACATTCCCCAGTCTTAGCCTCTTCTAAGGACTTTATAGGTAGTAAATCATCTACTTCTCACCAAGGTCCTAGGAGGTAAGCATTGTTATTGCCCCCATTTTTCAGATGAGAAAACTGAGGCACAGAGAGTTTCAATAACCTGCCTAAAGTTACATGTCTAGTAAGCTGGGATTCAAACTGAGGCAGTCTGGTTCCAGGGCCCACATCCCTAAACGTTATACACCACTGTCTTGTGTCTGGCTTCCAAAGGGACCTCAAGAAATCAACTGGTGCAGTTACCTGCCTTCCCATAGATAATCTGATCATTATCTCTATTTTACACATGAGAAAACTGAGGCCCAGAGAAGGAGAGAGGCTTGACTTGCTAAAGCCATACAATAGGATGGCATAGGGCTGGGACTAGAACCGGAGTCTTCATGATAGTGGTGACCTCCTCCAGAAGTTTGCCCTTGCCTTTGGCTTATCTGTCCTGAACGTGCTTTCCTTTTCTGAGACAGTTGGGCAACATCAATATCTGGCTCAGATCGGGCTCTTTCTTATCTCCATCACGCTTTGCACTCTCCTGTTCTAGAACCAGCAGATGCTCCTTGTGTTGCCTGGCTCACCTGGCCAGGACCCTTCCCTGGAACGCCCCTCCCAGCTGTCCACAGAGGCCTGCACAAGTGTGATATGGAGGTTAGTGGGAACTATAACTAGCTATGATTCCAATGTGGATGCTCAGAGGGTGCTTTGAACAATTAAGAGAGGAAGTGATGATCACTGGGGTCACCCTGGGTTCATTTAGAGCAAGGCCTTCAGGACTGACCACTCTTTCTTTGTTGAGAAAATTACTAGGCTGATTAGATCAGGGAGCTAGGTCCTAGCAAATGTGAATTCTTTGAAGATATTTGACAAAATCTAATGATTTTTCAATGAGATAAAGATGGTCTATTTAGGCACATCTGTTAATTGTTGAAACTCCAAACCCAAAAGATATTCATCTGCAAGTAATCTGTGGTGGTTGTCCATGGGACTCTGTTCTTTGCCTGGAGATTTTATATATATATATATATGAAACCACATATTATTTCTTAAATTAGTGATTTGGATAGGTCATAAAAGTCATACTGATCAAATTTTGCTGATGATGCCGAGATAGGAGGATTAGCAAATATTTGAGGTGGCAGAGCCAAAAAACAAATTTCCTGTTGTTACATTCACCCCATTGCTCCAGGATTCCAAGATTCTTTTTTCAGGATTCACTGCATCATTGGACACTTGGTTTCAAAAAACCAACTGCTTAAGGACAAGACAAAGTCAATGAGCCTTAGAGGGAGTAGATGTGAAAAGAGGCAGAGGCTCTTGTTGACTGTGACTCATTATGATCTCTGGAGGGCAGGGGAGCTGAGGTCTGCTGCTCAGTGTGTGTGTTCCTGTAAATTCAGACTACCCTGGCAGGCTGGAGCCCCCAGGTCTGCTGAGAAGGGGTGTCCTTTGGGGCATGTGCTGGGGAAGGTGATCCCAGTGAGACCATCGAACATGCCCAGAGATGAGAGAAAACACTTCCATTGGTGGCTTTGGATTCATCTTAGATCCCTCCCCTTCACCCTCCTTCCTACAGATGTTTATTACAAGACCTCTGTGTGCCAGGCACTGTGTTGGGCATTGGTAGGTGGTCCCAAGCATTGCCCCTGTCCTGTGGAGCCAGTAAGCTTTCTACATTGTGTGTGGGTGGTGCCAAGGACCTGTGGAATGGTGCCAGACCGGGTTGTAGGAAATCCAGTCATTGCAAGGTGGGCAGCCTCAGAGTCAGGAGCTGGAGAACACAGCGGGGGCTGGGGGATGGGGTAGCAGATCCCAGAGCAGGCAGGAAACAGCAGATCCCAGAGCAGGCCTCTGGCCTCAACAGAGTCTCTCCTTGACCAAACTTTAGTCAGGCTCCTCTGATCCTCTTCTCAACCAGGCCCTGACCTTTGGGCTTCTGTGTCCATCTTTGCATCACCCAATTTTAGCAAGAATCCTGCTAAGTCAGTGGAGTGAGAATTCCCCACCCTGAATATCTGATCACCCCTGATATCTGATCAAATTCCTCGTCCTTCACAAGCCTCAGGTGATGTCTGATCTCCCTGGCCTGACTTCAGCAAGAATCCTGTCCGGTTGGTTCAGCCAGAATTCCCCCTTACACCTGACATTTCCTCATAGTAATGTTCCGTCCGTGACCTCCCACCCTGCCCCTTGGCTGTAAATCCCCACATGCCCTTATTCTGCTTGGAACTGAGCCCATGTCTAGACTGAGGTCTCTTGCCCCCAGTTGCAGTAACATCCTGAATAAAATTTGTTTTCACTGCTTTAACTAGTGTCTAGATCTGGCTTCTTTGACAGCCCTCAGCAGGAGAGGGCCAAGAGGACAAGGAAGTCTGTGGGTTGAGGCAGGGCAGGAAACCTGGTTAAAGTGCAGGGGAAGGTCAGAGTATGTCGAGGGAGGATCTTTGTCTTGTTTGTTTAGAAGCACTGACTCTGCTGAGGGAGGGTGGTCTGGGCTCTGCTGGAAGTACAGGGCTGGGGAGAGGCAGAGCTTGGAGGGCTGTTGTGGACACCCTTGTGTTTGGTTGATGGGTTGTGGGGGTGACAGGGAGGAAGCAAGGAGCCAAAGCTCTGTGGATGGTGGACCCTTCACTGACTGAGCTGGGAGTCCTGGACAAGGGGCAGGGTTTGTGGCTGTTAAAGAAAACCGGAGCCAGACAGAAGTTAAAAAGGTAAAAATAGATTTTAGGCCCAGTGCAGTGGCTCAGGCCTGTAATCCCAGCACTTTGGGAGGCCGAGATGGGTGAACCACTGGAGGTCAGGAGTTTGAGACCAGCATGGCCAACATGGTGAAACCCCATCTCTACCAAAAATACAAAATTTAGCTGGGTGTGGTGGTGCATGCCTATAATCCCAGCTACTCGAGAGGCTGAGGCAGGAGAATCACTTGAACTGGGAGGCGAAGGTTGCAGTGAGCCAAGATCACCCCACTGCATTCTAGCCTGGGTGACAGAGAAAGACTCCATCTCAAAAACAAAACAAAACAAAAAAAACAGATTTTATTCGGGGACTATTGCAATAGAGGAAAAGAGACCCCAGTGCAGATAGAACTGGGCTCAGTTCCAAATACAGCGTGGACCAGTGGCGAGCCATACCCCAAGAGCAGGTTGGGAGGGATGGGAAATTATTATGAGGAAATGTCAGGGGTAAGGGACGATTCTGGCTGAACCAACTAGACAGGGTTCTTGGTGAAGGCAGGCCAGCTGGGGAGATATCAGACATCACCTGGAGCTGGCGGGGGATGAGGATTTGATCAGATATCAAGGGTGAAGGTTTCTAGCTAAGACAGCTTCACACGGGTCTTGGTAAAATTGGATGATGCAAAGACATGGAAGCCCAAAGGTCAAGGCCTAGTTGGGAAGAGGATCAGAGGAGCCTGACTAAAGTTTAGTCAAGGCTAGGTGCAGTGGCTCATACCTGTAATCCCGATACTTTGTGAGGCCAAGGCGGGAGGATTGCTTGAGGCCAGGAGTTTGAGAACAGCTTGAGCAACAGAGTGAGAGCTCATCTCTTAAAAAAAAATTAGCTGGGGATGATGGTGTGTGTGTGTGTAGTCCCAGCTACTTGGGAGGCTGACGTAGGAGGATCTCTTGAGATTGGGACTTTGAGAGTACAGTAAGCTATGATGGTGCCATTGCACTCCAGCCTGGGCAACAGAGTGAGATCCTGTCTTTAAAAATAAAATAAGTAAAATCAAAAACTATAGTTTAATCAAGGAGACACTGTTTGTCATGGGACGAAGAGATCCAAGAATGCAGAAACAGAAGACCTGCCCATTTGGAGCTGATATTCTAGTGGGGAGATAGACATCTGAAAGAAATAATTCATAATTTAAATCAGAAGGTGTGCACTGAGGGCTTGAAGCATCATTCATGCCCTTATTCATTCAACAAGTATATTAGAATTCTCTAGGGAACTCTAGAGGGTTCAGGACTAATAGGATAGATGTATATATGAAGGGGGGTTTATTAAGGACTATTGACTCACATGATCACAAGGTGAAGTCCCACAATAGGCCGTCTGCAAGCTGAGGAGCAAGGAAGCTAGTCTGTGTCCCCAAACCTCAAAAGTAGGGAAACCAACAGTGCAGCTTTCAGTCTGTGGCCGAAGGCCTGAGAGCCCCTGCCAAACCACTGGTGTAGTTCCCAAAGTCCAAAAGCTGAAAAACTTGGGAGTCTGATGTTCTAGGGCAGGAATCATCCGGCACGGGAGACAGATGGAGGCCAGAAGACTCAGCCAGTCTAGTCCTTCCATTTTCCTCTGCCTGCTTTTATCCCAGCTGTGCTGGCAGCTGATTAGATGGTGCCCACCCAGATTGAGGGTGAATCTGCATCTCCTAGTTCACTGACTCAAATGTTAATCTCCTTTGGCAACACCCTCACAGACACACCCAGGAATGATACTTTGCATCCTTTAATCCAATCAAGTTGACACTCAATATTAACCATCACATCAATGCCTCATTCTACCTTGATCAGGGCAGTTTTGGGAGGAGGTGGTGATGCAGCAGCTGGCCTTGAGGAAAGCCCAGAATTCCATCCTTGAGGCAGGGAATTCAAGCAGAGTCCATTGCGCTGACGAAATACAGATCCGTAATAAGAGAAGCTTTGGACGGGGTAAAGTTTGTCTCTACCATAGATGTTGCTTTCACTCTGCTTTTGGGAAATGTTACAGTAGAGTATCACACAATATTTGGTTTTGATGTTTTAGGATAGATACATTATCTTGGAATCACAAGCCCCCTTTCCAGAATATACCAAGGAATTGATAGATATCATTGGGTATCATGAGCAGTTTCGGTTGGACTTTGGATTATAGCCAATATCATGCCAATGGAATCCGTCACCACTGATGGTTGGACCTTTCCCAGCTGGGAAGGGAAATGCATACTTACAAGGACATTTGCATCTTCTGAAAAATCATCCTAACAATAAACTCCTATTTTCATATTTGGAGAGTTTGCATTTTAAAAAAGATAACTAGTAGTGTTTTTATCTTATTATAGAAGTAATTTATGTTTTTTGTAGAAAATTTGGAAAATGCAAATAAAGAGAGGAAAATTCAAATCACTTATAACCTGACTATCTAACACAATCACTGTTGATACCATGGTGATTTCATCAGACTTAAAAAAAATAGACTTCAGATCATCTGCTGCTGTTACTTGAGTCCCACCCCCCACAACCAATTTTTTTTTTTTTTTTTTTTTTTTTTACCGTGGTAAAATGCATTCTTCTTTTTTCCTTTTACTGTATATCTTGAAGAGCTTTCTGGCTCTGCCAGAGTCTCTACTTCATATTTTTAAGTGGCTTCCCAAAATTCCACTAGGCCATAATTTATTTAGATTTTTTTTTTTTTTTTTTTTTTTTTTTTTTTGAGATGGAGTCTCGCTCTGTCGCCCAGGCTGGAGTTCAGTGGCGAGATCTCGGCTCACTGCAAGCTCCGCCTCCTGGGTTCATGTCATTCTCCTGCCTCAGCCTCCCGAGTAGCTGGGACTACAGGCGCCCGCCACCACGCCCGGCTAATTTTTTGTAGTTTTAGTAGAGACGGGTTTCACCGTGTTAGCCAGCATGGTCTCAATCTCCTGACCTTGTGATCTGCCCATCTCGGCCTCCCAAAGTGCTAGGATTACAGGCGTGAGCCACCGCACCCGGCCTGGATTAATTTTCTGTTGTCGAACATGCAGGTTGTTTCTAGTTGTTGGTTTTTTTTTTCTCTTCTAAACAAGGGTGCCGCATTCAGCCCGGAAACAAAATAGATGCGCATCTCCATGATTAGTTTCTTAGAATCTAGCATTGGCTGGGCCAGAGGGGATGCAAAATTTAAGTATTTTAACACGTAGTCATCTCGGACATTTGTAGAGAGCTTACTATGGGCTTTTACATGCATGATCTCGTTTAATTTTCATAGCGTAGGTAGGAGCTGTTATTATTCCTCCTTCAAGATAAAACATCAGAGGCTCAGAGAAGTTTAGTAACTTGGGCCGGGCGCAATGGCTCACAGCTGTAATCCCAGCACTTTGGGAGGCCGAGGTGGGCAGATCATTTGAGGTCAGGAGTTTGAGACCAGCCTGACCAGCCTGACCAACATGGTGAAACCCGGTCTCTACTAAAAATAGAAAAATTAGCTGGACATGGCGGCCCATGCCTGTAATCTCAGGTACTTGGGAGGTTGAGACAGGAGAATCGATTGAATCTGGGAGGTGGAGGTTTCAGTGAGCTGAGATCGCGCCATTGCACTCTAGCCTAGGCGATAGAGCAAGACTCCGTCTCGGGGGAGGTGGAGGGGGGAAAGAGAGAGGTTTAGTAACTTCCCCAAGACCTCAGAGCTGGGCAGTGGCATAGAGGGGATGAAGCCCCCTGAGCCCACCGCAGGACCTGCACTGGAATCTGACACTGTACTTCCTGCCAAGCTGTCCTTGGACAGCAGTGGGTGTGTAGACCCTTTCCCAGAGCACAGGACTGAGAATTATTTCTGAAACAAACAAACAAACAAAACAAAATCAAAAGCTCTGTCAATTGGGCAGTTGATAAACTTTCACTTTGCATTTCTTTGTTTATCAGAAAGGTTGAATGTATTTAAATGTTTAATGAGCCTTTCATTTTTAGTGAATTGACTTGTATCTCTTGCTTATTTTTTAAAATATGAGTAGCTCTTTCTTGCTGATTTGTGAAACTGCTTTATGTATTAAGATTGGTAAAATCAGGCCAGGTGCAGTGGTGGCTCACGCCTGTTATCCCAGCACTTTGGGAGGCTGAGGTGGGTGGATCACCTGAGGTCAGGAGTTCAAGACCAGCCTCTTCAACATGGCAAAACCATGTCTCTACTAAAAATATAAAAATTAGCTGGGCGTGGTGGCTGGCGCCTGTAGTCCCAGCTACTTGGGAGGCTGAGGCACGAGAATTGCTTGAATCCAGGAGGCAGAAGTTGCAGTGAGCTGTGATCATGCCACTGTAGTCTAGCCTGGGCCACAAAGCAAAACTCTATCTCAAAAAAAAAAAAAAAAAAAAAAAAAAAGATGGTAAAATCCATCTCCTATCTCGTGTGTGGTAAATATTTTTTCCTGTTTTTTCACTTGCCTTTAATTTTACATTATTTTTCAATATACGGTTTTTTGTTTGTTTTGGGTTTTTTTTTGTTTTGTTTTTTTTTTCTGAGATGAAGTCTTATCCTGTCTTGCCCAGGCTGGAGTGCAGTGGCGCAATCTCAGCTTATTGCAGCCTCCACCTCCCGGGTTCAAGTGATTCTCCTGCCTCAGCCTTCCGAGTAGCTGGGACTACAGGTGCGGGCCACCATGCCTGGCTGATTTTTAGTAGAGATGAGTTTTCACCATATTGGCCAGGCTGGTCTTGAACTCCTGAAGTCAAGTGATCCGCCTGTCTCCACCCCCCAAAGTGGGATTACAAAGTGCTGGGATTACAGGCATAAGCCATCGCATCTGGCCCAATGTAGGGGTTTTAAACATCTTCACATAGCTGGATTTATATCTTTGTGGTTTCTGCTTTTGGTGTCATGCTTAGAAAGTCCTGCAAGTACTCCATGGCTTTATAAATAACCCACTTATATCTCCTTTTGGTTACAGTAATGGTTTGATTTTTAAATATTTAACTCTTTTTTTTATTGTTTTCTTGAATTTATTTGATCAAAAAGAGGAATTGGTGACATAAGGAGATGGAAAAATATGAGCTGATTTTATAAAAAATAATTTTTAGGTTGTAATTATTCATTTAGTTGTCATGGTAAAATATTTTATAGTAGTCTTAATTATGTCTTCACAAATATCTTTTTAAATTTTTTTTTATTATACTTTAAGTTTTAGGGTACATGTGCACATTGTGCAGGTTAGTTACATATGTATACATGTGCCATGCTGGTACGCTGCACCAACTCGTCATCTAGCATTAGTTATATCTCCCAATGCTATCCCTCCCCCTCCCCCCACCCCACCACAGTCCCCAGAGTGTGATATTCCCCTTCCTGTGTCCATGTGATCTCATTGTTCAATTCCCACCTATGAGTGAGAATATGCGGTGTTTGGTTGTTCTTGCGATAGTTTACTGAGAATGATGATTTCCAATTTCATCCATGTCCCTACAAAGGACATGAACTCATCATTTTTTATGGCTGCATAGTATTCCATGGTGTATATGTGCCACATTTTCTTAATCCAGTCTATCGTTGTTGGACATTTGGGTTGGTTCCAAGTCTTTGCTATTGTGAATAATGCCGCAATAAACATACGTGTGCATGTGTCTTTATAGCAGCATGATTTATAGTCCTTTGGGTATATACCCAGTAATGGGATGGCTGGGTCAAATGGTATTTCTAGTTCTAGATCCCTGAGGAGTCGCCACACTGACTTCCACAATGGTTGAACTAGTTTACAGTCCCACCAACAGTAATATTTAACTCTTTACTATGTTAATCTATTTTTTATAAAGTAAACTTCTAATGATACATATTTCTCCAAATGGTTAATCCAGTGCTCCAATACCATTTGTTGAATGACTCATTTCTCTGCTTACTTGAAATGACACATTATACATAGTTAGTCTGTTTCTGAACTTCTATTCCATAGGTATGTCTGATGCTTTCTGGGTCAGTGTCCCGGTATTTAAGTCACCTTACGTTTATATTATACTTTAATATCTCATAAGGGAAGTCTCCTCCATGATGAACCTTCTCTTTGCAAGGATTGTCTTAACTGTTCTCACCTGTTTATTCTTATGCTAGAACTTTAGAACCATTTTGTTGAGTTCTAAAAATAATAATAGAGGCCGGGCATGGTGGCTCATGCCTGTAATCCTAGCACTTTGGGAGGCCGAGGTGGGCGGATCATGAGGTCAGGAGATCGAGACCATCATGGCTAACACGGTGAAACCCCGTCTCTACTAAAAAAATACAAAGAAAATTAGCCGGGCATAGTGGCGGGCGCCTGTAGTCCCAGCTACTCGTGAGGCTGAGGCAGGAAAATGGCGTGAACCTGGGAGGCGGAGCTTGCAGTGAGCCGAGATCGTGCCACTGCACTCCAGCCTGGATGACAGAGCGAGACTCTGTCTCAAAAAAATAAATAAATAAATAAATAAAATGATAATAATAGAATTAGTATTTTGGTTGGAATTTGGTGAACTTAGAAATTGATTAAAGGAGAATAATTTTTTTTTTGCAGTATTGAGTCTTCACATTCAGAAGTAAGGTACATCTTTTCTTTTATTCTTACCTGTTTCATATGCCTCTGGAAGAAAATCGTAGTTGTTCATTTGCAGGACAAGAAAAGATGTTTTTTCCCTCACTCATTGCTAGGTTCATGGCTTAGGCCCCTATAACAAAAGATAGATTAAAGAGAAAAGAGGAAATATACAAAGGTATTTAATATAAGTTTTACATGACACAGGAGCCTTCATAAGGAAACAAAGGCCCAAAGATGCAGGTAAACTTGTGTATTTTTATGCTTAGGTTTGATGAAAAAGTGGATAGTTGTGGAGATAGTTGATTGGACAAAGAGAGTGTGATCTAATGGTAATAAACTGGGAGGAATTTGCCAAGGCCTGTTTGTTCAGATTCCCCTCTGTGCTCCTGTGTCTTCAGAGATAAGGATGTTCCTTTCCCCTTGGTATACAGAGGGCACCTCTCCATGAGGGTCTTCTGACTTGCTTCAAGAGAAAAGGGCGGGAGAAGCTCAAAGAGTGACTTCCCTAGGTTTTATGACCTGCTCCAGGGGAGAAGGGTGTGAGGAAGGTGAGAATGGCCTTCCTGGTACTGCTGTTTTCTCAAATGCCAAGGTGCCAGATTTGGGGATAGTGTGTCCTGAAGGCTATCCCATCCATTCAACAAATATTCTTGAGCAGCTCCAATCATTACAGCCCTTTTCATAGAAATTCTACTTGTTTCATTAAGTTAATTACTCAGTGTTTTAATCTTTGTCACTATTGTGAGTGATATTCTTTTGCTATTATAGTGGCTTCTCTTCTCCACAGGTATTTTCTAATTAACTATTGCTGGTGTGGAGAAAACTTGGATTTGTGAATATCACTTTCCTAGTCAGCTGCCTTATAGAGCATTCTCATTGGTCCTGTGGTTTCTCACAGGTTTCCTTGAGTTTTTCCAGGAAGACAGTCATATTGTATGCAAGTAGCAATACTTCTGCCTTGTCCTTTCCAATATTTTAATCTTGCCTCTTTGTCCATGGATTGAATTGTCGTCATCTTTGGGGACTGGACTGGGCAGAAGTCATGAGCATCCACATTCTTGTCTACATCCTGAGTTTGATGGAATGATTGCTGTTTGCCTACTGCTTGGGGTACTGGCTATTTGCAGCAGACTTTGTCATGTCCTGGAGGTATCCTCTTTCCCATTTGCTAAGAGGGCTTTGTTCAAAATCAGAAATGAGGGCTGAATTTTATTAAATGCTTTTTCAGCCTCTTCCATACAAATGATTTGCATTTCAGAATTATTTCTGCAGGCAGGTGGACCATAAACACCTTGAAGTCAAGAACTGTCCTTAAGACCATCATAGACAGTCATTCATTCCCAACTGTATAGAAACCTTACATAGAAACAACCATAGGAAATTATCAGTCTTCCCTGCAGTAGGTACTCAGTCAACATGTATTGGAGCCCATGGGTGCAGGCTCAGTCACTGGCATGAATTTTAGGAGGATGTGAAAGAGAAAGCACTCTGAAAATTTGGAGGTGGGATGGCTGGGGAGCTTCACCTCCCCGTATGCACTAATTAGGAGGCCATAAATGTGAGGAGACATTTCATTTCATCCCGTTTTCCAGATGAGGTTAGTATCATGTTTGCCTCAACTAGGAACTGAATTACAATGCCATAGACATTTAAATTGCGGGACATAAAGTGCTTGTCAAGTGCTAATTACAGCCTTGCTGGTCTCCTGTATTACCAACCTCAAGATTCTGCCAGCTGCCAGCAGGGGCAGGCTTTCCAGCGAAGCACCTCGCAGGAAAGGTGCCACCGCGTTGGGGCGCATTCTATATGTTTGGGAAATTAGACTTGCTTTCTAAGTAAATAAGCGGTTAGGGTGCCAGTGGTTAGAGCTGGCAGTGGTTGGTAGTGTCCCCAGGATAGTTCTAGTTGTTTTGGCTGAAAACAAATTGTTCTAAAGCAGGATGAAAACAATATGATCAAGGTGAAAATTAGGTCCAAAATAATGAGTTGGCAAAAAGAAAAATCAGTACTCCCCAGTACTGGATTTCCATGTATTGGTAATTCTGGTGCACTCTTCATTTAGTCAACAAATATTAACCATTTATTATAGGTTGTAGACAGTGGGGGTTGAGGGAGGGTACATCAATGAACAAAACGAGAGTTCCGTCCAGAGAGCTTGCGTGCTGATAAAGGAGACAGACAATGCAAAAATAAATACATCTTAGATAGCTAGCTAGGTAGGTAACATGTTAAGTGGTGATGGCACTAGGAAAAAAAACAAAAACAAAGGACAGTCAGGCCCTAATATTTACGGGTGAGTGATTTCTGTTTGAAACTGGTGTCCAGAGAAGGCCTCTCTGAGATGGTGCTGGAGCAGAGATTGGATGGGAGGAGAGAGAGAGAGCCCTGTGAAGGTCGAGGCTGGAGGGAGAGCCACTGCAGGCCCTGAGGCTAGTGTACTTGAGGAGTTTGAGAACAATAAGAGGGCCCGTAGGACTGGAGCAGAGTGATGGAGTGGGGCAGGGTCAAGTGTGAGACAGAGAAGGGATGATCCCATAGGGATTTCTGGCCATGGGACATTTGAGGACTTTGAGCAGGGAAATGACATGATTTGACTTATCTAAGGGCCATTTTCCAAACTCTGCTCTTAGGTATTTTTGGTTCATTTCTCAAAAGTTTTTTGGCAGAGCAGGCACAATTGGCTGAAAATGAACAAGATCTAAAGAGAGAATACATAGCCAATAACCACCATGAGGACCAGAAAAAAAATTCTGAAAAATCAGCAAAACTGCTTGAATGCCTATAAGATGTTGTAAACCTGTCTCAGGTATCCTCCAGTTATTAATATGTGAAAAGCCAATGACCAGGGCTCTTCGCTTTTGACTTGATTGCTGTCTGGATCAAGCCTTCAGCTGTCTGGGGGCTGGCCAGTGTGCAGTTTGCCAGACACCTCCCTTTGGTCAAGAGCCTGGGTCTGGAGGCGTGCAAGTGGCCCAGACCTATCTTCTTGAGCTGAAAATAACTGCTGCAGATGGTAAGACTTGGGCAACGGTAGTGCAGTTGGGCTCCAAATAGTGCAGTAGTCTTCTTGGCTATGTGAAAAGATTATTTCATCTTTAGTGCTACCACTGTTGTTTTATGGGCCTGTAAGGCAGGGGAAGTTGAGGCTGAGGGCATAGCTTGAGTGGATGGCCATCTGAGGTCCCAGGTCCCAATCTGGAATTCTTTCAGTTGCATCACAAGAGACTTCTGTGCCCACAGAGCACCTTGCCCATCTCTGTATCAAAGCATTCATCCTATAATAGTGTAAAGATCTGTTTCTGTGTTTGTCCAGCTAAATTGGGACTTCCTTTAGTCAGTATGTTTGGGTTACATGTAAGCTGCTGTAAAAAAGAGGCTCAAAAATACAGCGGCTTCAGTAAGTTGAACACTTATTTCTCCCTCAGTCAACATTATGGCTGGTCCAGACATCTCTGCTCCACAAGGTCATTCAGGGATCTGAGTTCCTTAACTCTTGTTGTCCCATCGTGCTATAGGATTTGCCCTCATTGAAGTAGTTGCAATAGGGTCCCTGCCACATTTGTGTTTTAGCTCACCAGAAGGGGAAAAGAGGGAAAAAAATTGCAGAAATCCAGAGCAAGCAACTTGTCCTAAAGCTGAAGATGGCCTAGAAGTTGTACATGTCACTTCTTTTCAATCCCATTTCAGAAATTTGTCACATAGTCATACCTAGCTGCAAAGGAAGCTGGTTACATTTAATCTCTAGCTAGATAATGGTGTGGCATATTAGTTTTCTATTGGTGCTATAAAAATTTACCACAAACTTATAGCTTAAAACTACACAAATTTATTATCTTATAGTTCTGGAGGTCTGGAGTCCAAAATGAGTCTTGCTAAGGTCAAAAGCTTGTCAGGACTGATTCCTTCTGGAGGCTCTGAAGGGAGAATTCATTTCCTTGCTTTTTTCAACTTCTCGAGGTCACCTGCATTCCTTGGCACATGGCCCCTTCCTTGCATCACTCAAGCTTCTTGATTCTGTTGTCACATCTCTTGCTATTCACTCTGATTTCTAGCCTCCCACGTATAAGAACCCTTGTGATTACATCAAACCTATCTGGGTCTAGGATAATCTCCCCATCTCAAAATTCTTAGTCACATATGCAGAATCCCTTTTGCCATGCAAGGTAACATATCCACAGGTTTCTGGCATTAGGACATGGATATATTTGGGGGGGTGTGCTTTGTTCTATCTATTACAGGTGAGAAGAGGTTTTATTACTAAAAGAAGGAAAGGGAGAAAGGATGTCAGAGGAGTGTCTTCTTAATGCCTGCCACACAGATGCTCTGGAAATGTTGAATACAGCAACATTTGGTGGAGTATTGCCTGCCTTCCTCCATACCACCCTGAACTTCATTGGTTCAACCAATATCTCTTTATACAAAGCAAAAGGTGGCGGATATCCAGTGCTGATCTTTAAGTGCATAGACTCTCAATCTGGGGCAAGGGAAATGAAGAGGAGGCCCCTAGTGCAGATTAGCTGTCCACACTTGTTACTGTTAATTTCACATCCTTCCTGGATTCCACTCACCCACTCCCACCTTCAGAATAGACACATAGCCCTACACAGCTAAAACTGAGCCCATTATCTGAGGCTGCAAATGTGGCTTGTTCTCCTAGTTTTCCAGAACTGTCCTCATGCTGATCACACAAGCTGAGGGCTTTGGCGTCATCTCTAACCACTCCTTTTCCTTGGCCCTCCCCTGTGTCCGCTGACTCCCTTCATGTTTCCAGATCTCATGGTGTTCACTCCTAGCCTTTCTTCATAGCCTCACTGCTCATGGAACTGGCCCAGGACTTGTCACTGTGGTTAGGGCACCTGCCACAGCCGTTCACCTGGCCTGCCTTCCTCTGGTTCCTCCTCCTTCAAGCCTCTTCCATCCATGGTGGCTCCTGCTTTGGCCACTGACCAAAGCACCATTGCCATCCTGCCGTGCTTGCTGGGAAGTCACCACTTGGTTCCCACTTCATGGCAGGTGAAAACATATCTGCGTTCACTCTCCATGTGTTTGACCTGGTGTGGGAACTAGAAAAGGCCCTTCCCTCTGAGTCAGAGCTC